>NC_000009.12:99281158-99432673 GCF_000001405.40 Homo sapiens | reverse complement strand
GTTATCCCCTGCTTCTCTTTCAGTAATGTTTATGTGTCACCATAGGGTGTTTGCAGGATTTATGCTACCAAATTTTGTTTTATTGAGTTTCTGTTGGCTATTCATAGTGGTATTTTAGTCAACATAGAATGGCCTCAGCCCAGAGAATTAAACAGTAGACTGACATCAATGAATCCTTAAAAAAGGCTTTGGAAAAGACTCTTAGCTATTCTCATCAATCATCAGTGGCTCCCCATTTTGTGTAGAATAAAGTTCAAGCTCTTCAGTTTGACATTTGTTTCTGATCATTAGCCATGCCATGAGCAGTCCTATGGAGAGGCCCGTGTGGTGAGAAACTGAGGCCTCCAGCCATCAGGCGCATGAGTGAGCATGGATACAGGTTCTGCAGCCTAGTCAAGCCTTAGATGATGCAGCCCTGGCCGACACCTTATCTGCAGCCCCGTGAGAGGCCCAGAGCCAGAAGCACCTAACTAAGCCACTCTTGGATTCCTGACCCTCAGAAACTGTATGATAAATGTTTGTTGTTTTAAATTTCTAAAAGTTTTTGGGTCATTTGTTAAGCTAAGATCAGGAGAAGGAGAAAATTGCTTTTCTGATAATACTGTATGTGGAAAATGGGCCAGGAAAGGCTGAACATGATTTCAGTATTTTGGAGCTCTCTGCAAGGTGCTGAAAGGAGGGGACGGGGGTCTGGTTCCGACTCTTCTGCCTGTTCACTGAGTGGCCTTGAAAACATCATATCTCCTGTTATTTTCTGTTTGGGCCTCCGTTTCCTTATTTTTAAATGGCGATGGGAGTGTTAGTGCCAGTCTCCAGTCTAAAACCTTTACTTATGTGCAATAGTTAATAGTTGGCAAATGTTTTTATATACTGTGGTCAGGATTTGGAGACAACAAAAAATAGTTCTCCAAATTTCAAACTAAGGAAAATAAAATTGGCTTTTGGGAGTCAAACTTCAAAGTTAGTACATATGGCTTAGGACAGAGACACACCAAATTACCTTAAAGCAGTGTTTATGGGGGCTTCTGACAGGCTACAAGCTAAACCAAAAATGTAATTACTTTCTTCTTACCAATGAATGATTGGAAATACCATGAATGCTCATTTTTTAATGCACAAAAAGCTCTTTGGAGACTTTCTGGAACAAAGTAAATACTTAAGAGATGTTATTTATTACTGTATTTATTTATAGCTAAGGGAAACAGAAAATGAATAAGTTGGTCATTGAAAGATATTATGATCTGATATTTATAAAAAAAGGAGCCAGGGTTTATTAAGAACTCTAACTTGGTGTTCTAATAAGAAGTCTAGCTGCTACACACAGTACTGAGCAGCATGGCAAATGTCCAACACCGCACAGAAAACAAAGAGTTGGAATTCCCAAGATGCTTAGGCAGGATGTGTTGTTATCAGTGCATCATCATAGCTGTCATGAATTGGATCTGACTTCCAATTGCTGTTATTCTTTAATTAATTAAAGCACTTTGTAAAATTATATACAGGTCTTATCCTTATAGATACCCTTTGGGGGTAATTGCTGAATTGTTATGATTTGAATACTATGTTGTTCCTCTCTCATTTTGATCACAATATTCTTTATCTGCTGGGAAGTGGAAAGGGGTAGAGTGGGTGATTTTGTGTGATTTTTACTCTATTCAATGAGCCATGGTAAAACTTTTGAAAATTATTGACTTAACGGCCCTGTGGGGCCAGCCTTGACCATTGTGTGATTAAATATATGAACCTAGCTGAAGCAAAAAATGTGCCAATCAGCAGCCTGCCAGCAATGGGAGCCAGTAGGAGTAGGAGAATCATAGGGACTTACACTATTATTGGCCATCTATTGCTCTCCATGGACAAGAGAGCCTTGGTCAACAGCCCTAATGGGAAGGGTATACTGAATGTGAAGATGCACACAAGGGATTGTGTCCAACGGACTTAGAACATCCCTGTTTTCTCGGCAAATTCATCCTTATTGTTGAAGAATGTATCCTCTCAACACTTGACCACTAAACATTAGATCCTTCTGACTAACCCCCTGCTGTGGTCTGAATGTTTGTATTCTCTCAAAATTTATATACTAAAACTCAGTTCTCAGTGTGATAGTATTAAGGGGTGGAGCCTTTGGGAGATGATTAAGTCATATGAGTGGAGAGCCCATGAATGGCGTTTGTGCCCTTACAAGAGGCTAAAGAGACCAGAGTTCTCCACTTCCGCCTTGTGAGGACACAATGAAAACACAGCCAACTAGGAACCACAAAGCAGGTCCTCACCACACTGAATCTGCCAGTGCCCTGTGACTCAATCTTAGACTTCCCAGCCTCCAGAACTGTGAGAAATAAACTTCTGTTTTTTAGAAACCAGCCAGTTTATGGCATTTTGTTATAGCAGCCTCAGTGGACTGACATTCCTCCTTGGCCTGATTCCACATTCATCACATGATATTCTAATTATGACATGACTTTTCATATATGTCCATATGATGTTGGTCACAGAGATGTGAAGTATTTTAATCAATCTGTCCAGATAATGAACATGTTGACTTTCTAGGTTTATATCCTTGTCCAAAGTCAACATTGCCATTCTCCTTGATATAACCCTACCCTTCTAATTTGTCTCCCAGCTTCCACTCTTGCTCCCTCCATTTCAGTGTTGTATTGGCCTCTAAAAAGATTATTTCTCTATGTGTGTTTATTAAAACACTATCTCATTTGACCATCACAGCAAATGCAAAAGGTCTTATTATCTCCATAAATATATGAAGAAGTTGAGAATTATAAATAGTAAATGACTAAAACAATTAATAAGTTGTAGAATTGGGACTCACACACAAGTGAAGTAGGTTGTTTTTGTTACTGGTTTGGTGCATTTAATGATCACCTATTACATAGGTTTGTTTGTCCTAAACAAATAGTAACAGCATGTTCATGTACTTAATCTTTATTCTATTGTTGCTACAGATGAGAAAATTGAGGCCCAGAGATGTCAGGTGAATTGTTCAAATTTACCCTGCAAGTAACAGAGTTCAAATTTATACCCTAGATTTTTTTACCAGTACATTTTTGGAAGATATTATTATTCATATATATATATTTTATTTATTTATTTATTTATTTATTTTTTGAGACAGAGTCTTGCTCTGTCACCCAGGCTGGAGTGCAGTGGCATGATCTCGGCTCACTGCAACCGCTGCCTCCCAGGGTCCAGCAATTCTCCTGCCTCAGCCTCCCAAGTAGCTGGGATTATAGGCATGTGCCACTACACCTGGCTTTTTTTTTTTTTTTTTTTTTTTTTTTGTAGTAGAGACGGGGGTTTCACCATGCTGGCCAGGCTGGTCTCAAACTCCTGACCTTGTGATCTTCCTGCCTTGGCCTCCCAAAGTGCTGGGACTACAGGCATGAGCCACCACCCCCGGCCAATATATTTTTATTTTTAAGGCCTACTATAAGCATTCCATTTCTATTTCTAAACATGTTGACAATTTTTAAAATTTTAATTTTATATTTAACTTTTCAAAATCCCAATTTGGTTTCCATTAAAATTTGTGTATGTGTGTGCGTGTGTGTGTGGATGTTTTCTATTGTTGACATAATAAATTACCACAAACTTAGTGACTTAAAAAATGCGAATTTAGTATTTTTGAATTCTTTAGGTCAGAATTCCAACACCAATCTCATGAGGCTGAAATGAAGGTGTTGTCAGGGCTACATTTCTTTCTGGAGACAGTAGTGGGAAATCCATTTATTTGCCTTTTTCAGATCTAGCCATCAATTGCTTCCCTTGGCTTGTGGCCCCTTCTATCTTCAAAGCCAGCAGCAGAAAACAGAGTCCATCTCACACAACCATCTCTTTGGCTTTCTGCAGACAAGAACGGTTCTCTGCTTTTCAGGATGCATGTAATTAGATTAGGCCCACAAGAATAATCCAGTATAATCCCCCCATTTCAAGGTCCTTCACCTTAGTCATACCTGTCAAGGTCTCTTTTGCCATGTAAGGTACCATATTTCCCACGTTCTAAAAGTTAGGAAGTGGACATCTTTCAGGGCCATTATTCTGCCTATATACATATGCAGAATTATGTATATTTATATATATAAAAAAATAGATTATATAGTACATAATCTAGATAATCTGATAATCTAGATAATCTGATTATATAGTACATAATCTAGTAACGTTGTTATGTTACTAGATTATGTACTATATAATCTACATGTTTTGTATATATATAATTCATGTGTTATCTATTTATAGTGTTATAAAAATACTATATAATTTATGCATTTTGAAATTTCTGTTTATGTGTATATACACTGTGTGCTTAGATATATATATGATATGTGAAATACCTAGAAGTCTTTTTCACAGTTGTTTTTTCTGATTCTTATTTCTCCACCCTTTGCTCCACACTCAGTGACATAGGTAGAATTGGCTATTTTCATCTTTTCACTTTTTTACTTGAGTCTACTTTAATTGAAGTGATTATAGCAGTCAGAGATGCTAAGTTATAAGCATTGGCAAACATCCACCTTCCACGCCTTAAAACTACAAAAGCCCTCATTTTACTCATACTCCATGTCAGTCATAGGGTGACTGCAGGGCTCTGCTCTGTGCTGTTCTTACACAGGGACCACAGGGCAGGGAAAATCCAGCTCCATCATCCACAAACACCAAGATAGAAGGAAAGTGGTGGATTGTGTGCTCATTCTTGAAGCCCCACTTCCAGGCCCATTTCATTAACCAAAGCACATCACTTGGCATCACCTAAGTTCAACAGCACATTGAATATTTATGGACAGTCCTAGTGACTCCCTTTAAAATGCACAAACATCCTTTAAAAAGTCCATGTCCTTTAACGTAGAACTACAAGATTTATTATGGAAAAAAAAAAAAAGTCTTTACCCCAGAGGACTACTGCTCCACCTCAAGTAGCAAGCACTTTAAATTGTATAGTGATTTCTTCTGAATTTACCCTCCAATTTTGAAATAAAAGGTATAGTTCTTTTCTTCCATTTTAGATACCATCTATTAGATTCCTGTTAAGGAAGTTTTGACTTACTTCTCTTCCTCACTGCCTCTCCATTCACACCCTTCTTCTCCCATCTTCCTAACATAATCACATTACAATATTTGGTTAGATCATTATTTAGTGTTTACAATGTCATGATCCTATAAACTACACTTACAGCTGAGCTATAGAGTGTACTATGGTTTCATTTCCTTTCTTGTACATTTTTTCTTAGAGTTGGTAAGTGCCTCTTTTTAGAAATTTGCATAGTTCTCTGTGTATTTATCATTAATTTTTTCCCAAGTTCTCTGACCAAGCTGTAAAACTCCTATTAAAACATTCAGACACACTGAATCCTTCATTAGTTCCATTCTGTTCTTCAAAACATCTCTCCTCAGCCCTCAGTCCCCCTGCTCCAAGTAGGATGGGTCATTCTTTAGGCTTATTTACATCTAGAATTCCTGTGCCTTGAAAACTGTGAGTTACAAATCAAGAGAGAAGAAAAGACTAGATGACTTCTGAAGTCCCTGGTCCCTGCTCTGAAATTTGAGGACAAAGACGAAATGTTATGAGAAGCCTACATAGGTTCCAAGAACTGACTCTGGACCAGTGTCCTATGGCCAACACTGCCCATCACTGCAGCCTGGTCACTGGATTCTGGGTCCTCCTCTGTACAGCTCAGGTTTACATTCCTTACCTTGACTTTTGTCTCTGCTGCTTTTTACATCTTGATCATCCTCCGATCTCCATTGTCCTGAAGCCAATAATAAGAGACAAGGGGAAAGGGCCAGCCTGTTTTGTGGGGGTTCCTAAACTCCTGAACTCCAGCCCTAGAAGCATCCTCATGGTTTTGTTTCCCCTGTGTCCCATCAGAAAGGAAATTATTAGACTACTCAATAAGTAGAAAATCCAAGTCATAGAGAAAAGCAGTGTGAAAGATAATATCTTGTTATGCTCTTATCTAGGAACTGATTGAATTCCTGAAAGCTCTTGAGGTGCCCCTGCTGGCAGCTGTGGCTGAGGGTTCAAAGCAGAGAAACAGAGCATGTGGGGAAATTTTTTTGCTGCACGATTTTCTTCTCACACCTGGAGATGGAGTGAAATTTGCAAGGGGAGTGGAATGGGAATATACATATTGCAATGATGATGGTAATGCTTTTATACCTGGTGCACAGATGAGATTTGGTTTGGTTGTAGAAGGATAAAGCAGAGAGGACAATCAAAATGATTTTGAGAAACTGATGAAATCCAGACTGCTGCAGTTCTGTTTGTGTGAAGAGTGTGTTAAATAAACCTAAGTGATTTTATGCCTGCTTAGTCTAACACCAAGGAAATGACATTATTTTTCTCCTCTCCTTTTCTGTTATGTGGTAACATAACTGAAGATTGGACTAGAAAAGACATTCCTGGGGCTTTCTCTGAAAATAATGACCCCATCCAGTGACAGGACAAGGATTGATGCTAGGAATTAACCACTTGTAAATGGAAATTAATACTCTAATTAGCAAGATAGGAAAATCCATCTTATTGTAAATAGTGCTACTTATAGATTGTGATATTCCTCCAGGGATTACCAGGTTATTTAAAAGGAATAAATCAAGAACTACATTCAGACCCATGAAGAAAGAGCAGCAGAAATATTCATAGCAGGCATATGTTAAAAACTGGCAATATTTTCACCAAGGTTGTAAAACAATGGATAAAGTCAATTTTTAAAAAGATACACATTTGTGATTTTTAACACTTCTTAGATGGAAAGTGTTTTCAGATTGGCTCTTGAATATTAACATTGTCACCTAGACAGCTTTCTAGCAAACAGACTCAAGACATTGGATAAAAAGATTAGTCTCACAAAAAAATGAGCAGATGAATACTGCATTTCAAATAAAAGCGAGGGTCTCCAAGGATTAAATATAAACATTCGATAAACCTGCAGCTCTGATGAAAATCTATTTAACAGCCTGGCATTTCTATAGCTGTTTAAAATGTGGAACCTGCTTTCACATCCATTAACTCATTTGTTTCTCAAAAGAGAACAGATGAGGAAATGGAGTCCAGAAAGATTAAAACTCACACAGCCTCCCAGGTATTAAGGGGCTGTATTTAATGTTAGCCTCCCTTGACCTGGAGTTAAAATGCAGCCATACTTCTCTAGACAGCCCCATGAATGAACATAGAGAGGACATTCCAGCCACAGTAGGGTTGTGACTTCTTTTTGAGTTCAAGAATGAATCCATGCAAGCCAATTAGAAAAATGGCTCCCATTCCCTTCATGTGTATGAATGTAAGGATAGCAGAATTTCATCCTATTATTCCCATTATAACACTCAAGTGTGACAGATTGATTAGGGCTCTGGTAGTGACAGTGCACATCACAATCTGCCTTGAATCAAGACTCTTCATGTAAACATCTTCCCTTCTGGACCACAGGAGCCAAAGACCAGCAACAAGGTCTTTAATATTTTGTCTCCATCCTGTGCCCTTCCCAGTGCCTAGCACAAAGGAGCTGCTTCATTAGCATGTGTGGTGCTTGAAATAAGCCACAGAACAGACACTTTGCAGTGCGCCAATTGAGTTAAATTGTGGACCTGCAGACTGGAAGTAGTCACAGCCCCTTAGAGGGTTAGCGATGTCAGATTGTTCCCTTTTCAATCATATAAGCTGGTTCTTGTTTTTTTGCACAGTTCCATCCCGTTTGGGGGGATGAAGTCAAACATGAGTGACCCCCTACTTTCACACAGAGTGAAAATGTGTGTGAAAATCAAGTCATAAACTCATACTCTAAAAGGAGTTGTTTCCGGGTTTCTGTTTTCCAACACTTTAAATCCCCTATCATACCAGGCCCTCTGGCTGGGCTAGGGGAATTCTGCAAACCCCAATAAGCGATTATCCATGTGATG
Source organism: Homo sapiens (assembly GCF_000001405.40). Classification (NCBI taxonomy): domain Eukaryota; kingdom Metazoa; phylum Chordata; class Mammalia; order Primates; family Hominidae; genus Homo; species Homo sapiens. The sequence continues at coordinate 99,424,765 of NC_000009.12, read as the reverse complement.
TTATGGTCCCTACCCCAGCTATGGACCACACCCTAGCTCACACCCCTACCCAGGCTTTCATGGAGGGCCTGAGAGGTGGCTGGAAAATCAGGGATTGGGGTACAGTGAGAGGTGGCTGGGGAATCGGGGATTGGGGTACGGTGAGAGGTGGCTGGAAATTGGGGATGGGGTACAGTGAGAGGTGGCTGGGGAATCGGGGATGGGGGCACAGTGAGAGGTGGCTGGGGAATCGGGGATTGGGGCGCAATGAGAGGTGGCTGGGAAATCGGGGATTGGAGCGCAGTGAGAGGTGGCTGGAGAATCAGGGATTGGAGCGCAGTGAGAGGTGGCTGGAGAATCAGGGATTGGGGCGCAGTGAGAGGTGGCTGGAGAATGGGGGATTGGGGCGCAGTGAGAGGTGGCTGGAGAATCGGGGATTGGGGCGCAGTGAGAGGTGGCTGGAGAATGGGGGATTGGGGCGCAGTGAGAGGTGGCTGGAGAATGGGGGATTGGGGCACAGTGAGAGGTGGCTGGAAATCGGGGATGGGGGCACAGTGAGAGGTGGCTGGAGAATTGGGGATTGGGCACAGTGAGAAGTCGCTGGAGACTCGGGGATAGGGACACAGTGACAGGTGGCTGGAGTATTGGAGATTGGGGTGCAGTGAGAGGTGGCTGGGAAATCGGGGATGGGGGCAAAGTGAGAGGTGGCTGGGGAATTGGGGATTGGGACACAGTGAGAGGTGGCTGGAGAATCGGGGATGGGGGCACAGAGAGAGGCGGCTGGGGAATCGGGGATGGGGGCACAGTGAGAGGTGGCTGGAAATTGGGGATGGGGGCGCAGCGAGAGGTGGCTGGGGAATCGGGGATGGGGGCGCAGTGAGAGGTGGCTGGAAAATCAGGGATGGGGGCACAGTGAGAGGTGGCTGGAAATCGGGGATTGGTGCACAAGCTACAGGAGCATCCACGGAGAAAACCTGTGCCAAGGGAAAAAACAACATAAAATAATTTCTATTTTATATAAAATTGGGGGAAAGGGTTAAAATAAATTTATATGCAAGCATAGACAAAATATAGGAAATAAATAGACCAAAATTTTAATAATTTATTTTTCTAGGTGGTATTTTATATTTTTTCTACATTTGTATTGCTTTCATGTCCCCATTTTTGAAATATCTATAAGTTCTTTTTAATTTTACTTTTATCTACCTGTAAGACATTAAAAATATTACTGATAAGGCTAAAATCTGACCACCATCCTCAAATCCAGTTATTCTCCCGACTACCCAGAATTAACCACATGCCACGTTGGCATCGTCTCTCTAGACATTTCGGACATACAGTGGTTCCCCCTTATCCCCACTTATTCTTGGGGTATATGTTCCAAGACCCCCAGTGGATCCCTGAAACAGCGGATAGTACCAAACTCTAAATACACTGTGCTTTTTCCTGTATAATAATGGGTGGATAGTGGATGCAAGGTGGGTAGGCGGGACAAAGGGATGATTTGTGCCCTGGGTGGGATGGAACCAGAGGGCACACAATTAAAACTTGTGAATTGTTTATTTCTGGAATTTTTAATTTAAGATTTGCAGACCTTGGTTGACCATGGTAACTGAAACCTCAGAAAGCAAAACTGCAGCTAAGGAGGGACTACTGTACTCACATATATGTATATATGCCCATGGAACTACACAGTATTGTTTTGTTTCTACATAAATGACATCATACCATTCATATTCTGCAATTTGCTATCCACATCAGTTACATATAGATATGTCTCAGTAAAAAAAGAAAAAAAGCGTAATATTTCACCGAACTGAGAGACTTGCAGTCCGGGTTGAGCACTAGAATCACGTGAGGAGCTTTAAAATAAAACCAATGCTCAGGCCCTACCCCTAGTGACCCTGAAACAATTTGATTGGTTTCCCCTCCCTAACTCTAGGTGATTTTTTTTTTTCAGTTGTTACAATTTAATCACATCCTGCAGTCTTGTACATGAGTGTGTGGTACTCTAGGAAGACATCAAAAAACAAAAAGCAACTTGTATTACAATTCCCATCTACACCCCCACCAGAAATATGTGAAAAATACCCATTTGCCTTTATACTTCTCCACTTTATATATTATTACTAATTTTTAAATTTTTAAAATTTTTGCTGCCTTAATGGATTAAAACAAACAGTATGTAGTTTGTTTTCATTTTATTGATTACGTAGAAGATCTATATCTTTTCATGTCTTCAGCAAGGGATTAAGAGCGCAAACCACCCAGTTTTTTATCCCAGTTCTGCCACTTCCGAGCCATGTGATTTCAGATCAGTTGCTTAATCACCGTGCCTCAGTTTCCTCATGTGTAAAATGGGAGACTAATAGTGTCTACTTCATAGGCTTGTTGTGATATTAAATGACTTAATACGGATAAGATTTTAGAACAATGTCTAGTATGTAGTAAGCATGCAATAAATGTTAGTTATTCTCTTTGGCTATTTGGACTTTTTTTTTTTTTTAGCATTACTGATTAATCAGAAAACAAAATTAATTTCTTAAATATTGGCCCATCCAGAGAAAGCTACCCAGGCAGGCCTCGAATCAATCATGGCTAGAAACCTTAGATACCTTGTTCCTGTTCTCGGTAGTTGTCTTAGCCTGTTTGGACTGCTATAATAAAAACACCGTAGTTGTTTACAGGCTTATAAACAACAGAAATTTATTTCCCATAGTTCTGGAGGCCGGGAAGTCCAAGATCAAGGCACTGGAAGAGTTAGTGTCTGGTGAGGGCCCTCTATTCATCTCCTTGCAGTGTCCTCACGTGATCAAATGGGCAAGGGAGTTCTCTAGGAGCTGACTTTTATAAGGATATTAATTACATTCACGAGGGCTCCACCCTCATGACCTAATCGCTTCCTGAAGGTCCCACTTCCTAATACCATCACCTTGGACATTAGGACTTTACATATAATTTTCAGAAGGACACAAACATTCAGTCTGTAGCAGTAGTAAAATGGGAATGACAGCTCTGTACCTGTTTGAAGACAAAGGAGGTGAAACATGTCTTTTGGGGGTCCCTAACAGGTCAGAGGTGATGTGTTAACTTCATTGTTTCATATCGGGAAGCAAAGTGTTTTCATTGCTATCACAAGGTGAGACTGCAATGCTTCATCCAGCAGCCTAGAATGTTAAATCTGGAAGGACTTTGGAGATCATCCACCAGACACTATTTTACAGACGAGAACATTGAGTCCCAAAGCATGAAAGTAATTTGGAAAACTTCCCACCGTCACCCAGTGACAGAACCAGACTAGGATCTAGTGCCCCTGACGTTCAGGAGACTTTTTTGCTATACTTCTCTATTGTTCATTTAGACCTAGTGCTTGGTGAGAGTCAGGGATGGCAAGAAAACAGATCCAAATATTAATATGTATGTGAGAAATCATGAAAAAAAGTTTTAATTTTACTAAATTAAGGCAAAAAGTAAGAAAAATTAGGATTTGCTATTTTAGACATGATAAGAATACAAAAATATTTTTAAACTGTAATAGGACCGGCTTCTTAGCCTTAGGACAATTTCCTAAGTATTATATAACCTAGAAAATGTTTTCGTGCCATAGGATAATTTGTTTAGGTAAAAGGCCGAACAAATCCAACCAATTCCATTAAAGTATTTGAATAAAAACATATACAAGAGACAAATATGGAAAGCATGATTTAAATAACCTGCAAATATTTGGGATCCCAATGTGATTTTACAAAAAACTCATTCTCACCCAAAGATGACAGAATTTGAAAAATTTTTAAGTCTTTAAAAAAATTTTTTTTAAAGTCTAAATTTCTGGAAAAGCAATTAATTTTATAAAAAGTTCAGTCACCCTTAACGAAGAATTATATATCCATCTCTGGTTTTGAAGAAAAGCACAGATAAACAAGAAATATGAGGCATATCATTTTGTTCAACATGATTAATTGTGTAAAATACTGGTAAGCTTTTATCCATAATGCTTTTCTGGTAGCACGAAAGTAGGTTAAAAAAATTGCTGATTATCTTTTCTCTTCTAAAGTAAAGCCTTCAATTAGTGTACGCAAAAGTCATCAAGGGGATTCAGAAGGCTCAGTGTGAAATGTTAACGAGAGAAGCTGACCAGTCTGGATGCTAATAGAAGGCAATGAGGTCTCGGGGGTGTCACTGTGAAGCACACCATCCTGAATCCCATATACAGGGGTGGGGAAACAGGGTGGGTTCAAACCCTCCGGATTTCATTCCTGGGGCTTGAGATTTCACATCCTCTGTTAGTGACAGCTTACCTGTGCTGGGTTGATTCTCTACTTTTCACTTGCAGGAGAAATCAAGGGGAAATGTCAAGTGACTTATACAAAATAAAGGAGAAATGCAGTGACCTAAAAAACAGGTTATTATATGAAAATAATACCTAAGATAGACAAAGAGATAGCACTTTACAGCCATTCCCTCATTTCCTTCTGTAGCTGGTATCTAATGTTATGTAACAACTTGCTCCAGAACTTAGTATTTAAAACAACAACAAACATTGATTACCCCAGTGTTTATAGATCAAGTACTCAGGCGAAGCCTAGCTGGGTGGCTTTGGTTCAAGGTCTCTCATGGGGTCACTGTCAAGATATCGGCGGGAGCTGCTGTCATCTGAAGGCTTGTCTTGGGCTGGAAGATCTGCTTTCAAAGTGGCTGACCCACATGGATGACAAATCAGTGCTGGTTGGTGGCAAGAAGCCTCAGTTCCATGATACATGGACTTTTCTTTGGGACTGAGTGTCACAACATGGCACTGGCTTCCCGCAAAGCAAGTGATTCAAGAAGGAACAAGGTGAAATGCAATGTATTTTATAAGTGACAGTGCCCTGTTCTGAAAAATGAATGAATTGGACTAGATTAGGGAGGGCAAACAGGTTTCCATATATCCAGTCTGTCATGAAAAAGCTGGAGGTATCCTCAGAAGAATTCTAAGGTTAAATCTCAGATAGAAGCTTACCCTAATAAGTTAGTGATGTTGGTGACACTAGGAGCAGAGAGTGGTGACATCCATGGCATTTATTTGCCATCCTTGGACTAGATAATCAATTAGCTTCACTGAAAGATGGAGGCTGACATTCTATAACCCACCCAAGCCTTCTCATCAACAGGAGAATGTTCTGAAACCAAATTTGGATTATCCAGTTTTCTATACCCAGCTCAGCCATAATCAGTGTTGCCTTTACAATTTTTGTAAATAGCCAGCTGGTTACTTAATTAAATTCACCCAGTTGTTTTCAAAACATCCAGGAGTATGACCAAATTCAATCTTTTCTTCAAACTAGTTTTGCATAGCTCTGTGAGGTGCTACATGACGATATATGTTATTTTAAACTCTCCTTATTTTTAATGATATAAACAATGAAAGCCTAAGTAAGAGAAAGGAGCTAACACATTTATTCCCATTCTGCCATCTGTTTAAAGCTGCTGATGTAATTCCAGTTTGAAATTGCATTAGCGTTTGCCTCCTGGACTTCTTCCTTATTTCCTTTTGTATTTCAGGCCTTCTGTACTTAAGAGAAAGCACTGCCTCTAGGATGTTGGTCAATTAATGCGAAGCTACAGTATAGCTCTGGCCATTTTCAAACTGGTCTCCGATTTGGATTTCCTTCATGATGAGCTAGAATGACTGTAACTGGAGTGTTATTTGCTTAAATATATTTGGTATTTAAGGTTTGATTAGTGATGTTTTCAGCAATATCATCAACAATCAGCAGATTTGTTTACACTGCGGAGGATGGCAGAGATTAAGGGTTGTGGTCGTGCATACTCAATCATTGCATACTGGCTTTTTTGACTTTTATCTCTGGATTATGCCTGAGAATTCAATTTTAATTTTTTTTTTAAATGCAGCTGCTTTACAGTGATTCGGAGTTTTGTTAAATTGTGTGATATTTTGTGTGTGTTGGGGGGTGTCTTCTATGAGGCTAGATTTCATTTAAAATTAAATTTTGGTTGGATGGCCAGGGTATGGTTTCTTTGCTTTGATATAAACTGGGGGTCCTTCTCTTCACTTCCAAATATCCCCAGTGGGGACCTGGTGGCAGGGGGACTGCGAACAAGGTTTTTGAAGACACAAGTGGGGCTGCGGCAGAAAAACCAGAAACGTGGGAAGCTTCCTACAGTTTTCTGAGCCTCAGTTTCCCCACCTGAGATAATACTAACCAATTCAGAAGTCTTTCTCTTCTAAACAAATTCTACTGTTACCTGAAACAAACATCTTTACCTTTCCTTGCTCTCACTGTAGTTAGTGGCACTGCTTTGGGGAAGTGACATTGAATTTCATGTCAGAAAATCTCATTAGGATAACAGAAGGTTGGACTTGGAAGGGACCTTAAGGATTCTCCCCCTAAAACTCTTTTTATTTATTTTTGAGACAAGGTCCTTCTCTGTTGCCCAGGCTGGAATGCAGTGGAGCAATTATGGTTCTCTGCAGCCTCGAACTCCTGGGCTCCAGCAATCCTCCTGCCTCAGCCTCCTGAGTAGCTGGGACGACAGGTGTACACCACCATGCCCAGTTAATTTTTAAAAATTTATTTTGTAGAGACTGGGTCTTGCTATGTTACCCAGGCTGGTCTCAAACTCCTGAGCTCGAGTGATGCTCCTGCCTCAGCTTCCCAAAGTTCTGGGATTACAGGCATGAGCCACTGTGCCTGGCCTCCCCAAAATATTTTTTAGACTGTCAGTTATACTCACCCTCAGAATGTAAGGGCATGGCCAGTAGAGAGAAATGTGTCTTACCAGGTACCAAGAACACAGCTCGACTTCAGCAAGCTGATCTGGAATATCCCTTGCTACTCAGAACCGTGGCTCTGAACTGTGGCTCAGAACCACTTGTGGATTTCTTTCCTTAATATCAATGTCTGGCTCTTACATCCAACTTGCTCAATCAGAATTTTGGGCCATGGGGACCAATTACTTGTATATTACAAAGCTCCATGGCTGATTTGGAGTCTAGTGAATCAAAATCTTTTGGTCAAGATGGAGAACCTCAGTTCCGGAAAAGCAGATCACTGGAGGTAGAATGGAGTCAGCAGACAGTGCTGATTAGAAAATCCAGAGACCAGGGTTTGGGCCATGATCTAAGTACTGAAGTCCTGAAGGAGCAGAGAAAGAGGGAGAACCCATACAGCTCGGGAAAAGCAGGGGAGCCCTCACAAGGCAGGTGACATCTGTGTTAGATCTTAAAGATAAGTAGAAATTTTCCTTTTGGAGAAGAAATGATGGCTGAGAGGAGGACAACATTGAAATTCATCACAGAGCATGGCACAAAGCAGGAGGTATGAAAGGCAAATGTTTTGAGCAACTACTCATCTCTTCCAGAGACCATATGAGATGCTGGACATGGAGAAGTTTGACTGGAACATGGAGATGTGGAATATCAGGAGTTTGACCTGTAAAAGTAATCTGCATCAACTCATTAAAAGTCATGACTCCAAAGTAATAATTTTGGAATTGATCCTGTAGTCTGTTGTTTGCAACTGCAAAGTCACAGAACACTGGTATGTTACAATTAGCCATGAAAAGCTACAAGTAACGTATTAGTATTGGCCATGAAGGAGGCAGCAGAGGAGATCCCAACTCTGCTACTCACCAATCATGAGCCACCTACTGTCCCCTGGGAAAATTATTAAAGTGCCTAGTGCCTCATTTTCTTCATCTGTATTGTAGAGATAATTATGGCACCTACCTGACAAGGTTGTTATGAGGCCTAAGCGTTAGTATCTGTGAAGCTGTTGACATAGTACCTGGCAATATAGATATCAGTAGTAGTATTACTATTGCTATTATTGTTGTTGTTGTTATTTCTACAAAAGTTTGAAGAGTCATATACAGACACATTCAAGGAGGTTCAAGTTGACTTATAATTCACACTCTCTTGCATTATTAAGTGGAACAAAACAAAGTAGTGAGTGAACCTTTGTCTAGTAAGTTGCACATAGCCCTAGTAACATCTAAGGCAGTAAGTGGAGCCTGCAAATATTCTCTTGTGTGAACCACTGCCACAGGCAATGCCAAACATCTTGAGTAGGGTTGCCAGGTAAAATACAGGATACCCAGTTACATTTGAATTTCAGATAAAACAATAAATAACTTCTTAGTATAATAAGCATGTCCCATTATTGCAGGGGACAGATACTAAAAAACTTGTAAGTATGGTGGTAGGGATCCATGTGATTCTTTGGTCACACTTCAGGTGCCAGAGTCCCTTCCAGAGAGGATGGATCTCCCTAGCCTTTCTGGAGGAGGATTCCCACAAGTAGGGGTAGCAGCTTCATCCCTGAGAAATCTTCAGGGAAGCTGGTGTCGGGCCCTGAAGGCTGAAAAGCATTTTGACAGGTGGAAAAAAGCATACAGTGTTGCATTCTAGGAAATAGCATGCTCCAACGACAGAGGCACGGGAGTATGCCTGGGAACCTTTGAGGAGACAAGGGTGGGTGGGGCTGTGTGTGTGTGTGTGTGTGTGTGTGTGTGTGTGTATGTGTATGTGTGTCTGCAGGGGTTGGATGGGGCTCAAGAGGACACATGGTCAGGGCAGTGTTTGGGGCCAGGAGTTTAAGAGTTTGAGAAATTATATTGAATGAGTTGTAACCTTGTAACTGAATAAGTTACTACCCACTTCCTGAATTAGTCATTTTGCTTCCTTTCTTAATGGGTTTCAGACATGTTTCCCTAAGCACTGCCATTATTTTTCCTTATGATGATTAGTTTGTTTGTTTGTTTGTTTATTCATTTTACAATTCTTCTATGTTCAGTTAGTGAAAGGTTGTAAGATGGATAGGAACAGCAAGACTCAATGATTATTTAACAAGTAATAAACTGACAGTACAGTCAAACAAGCTTGTCACTGGAAGTCTTACTCTGCTATGTGAAGTTAACATGGCAGAGCTAATTTATTTAATTAGAAGCTGTTTTTACTGGAAGACTTCCAGGAGGACAGTGGGTGTATTCTATGGCGTTTCGGGGCTCCTTCGATTTCAGAGGTCTCACAGATAGAAATTAAATTGAAGAGGACAATTAAAATAAAACCCTGTGAACTGTTACCTCCTTCAGTAGTGTCTGTTGACTGCATCCCCCGCCTTCAGCTGTTTGGGGATGGAGACCTTTATCCTCAGAACTAGGCAGATATAAATTACATTAAATTGTACCAAGCTCTTTTGGTGTTTTTCCCGGATTTAGAAGACACACATCTTGCCATTTCTTGATTAATTACTGCACGAAAGTTGCAGATAAGCGAGCTTGGCTCAACATAACGAAGGATTCGCATGTGACCTGGAAACGCTGTCAGGCTGGGTAAGGAGGAGCTGGGTTCTAGTCTCAGGTGCAGCAATAATTCTTTGTGTGACCCTGAGCAGGTTGTTTCTCTTCCCTGGGCTTCAACGCTTCATTTGTAGAACGAGAAGGGAAACTTTATGGTTGCTTTTAGCTGCTCCATTCTGAAATTCTGGGTCACAAGAAGGCTGTCAAAGGAAGGGACCCAGCCAAGGCAGAACATCAAGGAAAGACCTTTAGAATGGCAGAGGCTGAGTGGAGCCTTAAAGGAAGAACAAGCATCAATGACAGCAGCGAATCCTATAAATGTCTCTAAACAAATAATCATTATTATAGATGTATGCGAAGACTTACCTAGAAGAAAGAGAGAATGCTAGAAGGTTCTTTGAATATTATTATTTTGAGAATCTTAAATGAGTTAATGTGTATGAAGTGCTTAGCATAGATCTTCTTTTTTCTGGGAACAGTGAAGTAGGTTATTTAGATCAATCCTCCTGCTGGAAGCAATGGAAAATATACATTTTTAAAAAAAAATCTTCTTAAAACCATTGAAGAGATGACAAAAGAAATATTAGAAATACCAAATTAAAAATAAAGGGAAAACGAAAACTTAGCAAAGTAAGCAAACACAGAAAGTTTATTGCTCTGAGCACACATGTGCCGATTTCTCAAAATCAGAAATATTTTTTCTGGCAGCCTTGAGAAATGAGGGGAACAGAAATAAAATCAAAGCCTAGGCCCACAGCAGAGAGGCAACTCCCAGCAAACCCTTCCCACAACAAGCTAGAATCCCAGAGACTTCACTCCCAGGATGAGAGAGAACCAGAAATGGCATAGCCCTCATAGAATCACAGCCTGGTTCCAGTCTTCTGAGTTTTTTTCTAGTCCCTTACTACTCAAAGTGTGGCCCACAGATCCCCAACAGCAGCATCAGCAGAGAGCTCATCTGCAACATAAATTCTTGGGCACCACTCCAGACCAATTGTATCAGAATCTGTACTTTAACAAGATCCCTGGTAGAAGCAAACCCAAATCCTTTGGAGAGGAACTCACTTTCATTACGGGCCTCAAATTACTGCTGGTAGTAATCTCTCTAATGCAATTTCTGGTCAATACAAAAGATAACAAAGCACAGAAGAAAATTAGGCAAGAGAGTCAGCAAAAACAACAGACAACAGAAACAGATGTACAGGGTCTCTGGAGACTGGAATTATCAAATGCAGTTTCTCAATTAATAAATTATATTCACAATAGCTATGTGTGAAAGGGAACATAAAAAGTAAAAAAGTTCTCTTCAGTGAATAGCAATCTATTAAAAAATTATAATGGATTTGAAAAAGAAATTCTAGACATGAAGTGTTTAGCACATTGGGGTAGTGAGTTCCCTGTCACTGAAGGTACATGAACAAGGCCAGACAACTGAGTAACAGAATAGTTGAAGAGGGGAGTCTAGCCCTGGCTAGCGGTTAGCCTGGTCATCTTCAAGTCTCCTTATGGTACAAATGCTGTAAGATATTTTGCCTAAGAACAAGACATCCTCCAATTGACCAGGGTCCTCAGATCATGTCTAGCTTGACTTCTCCAGGTATGGGCTTGAGAATCCTGCCCAAGACTGCTGCATTTCTCACTGCCCCAGGGTAGCTAACAGTTACCATGGCTGTGTAAACTTGCAGAGAGATAGGGATCATCCATAGAAGCTGCAGATGAAACACAGGGAGCCAATCTGGGGGACATATCACATACTATGGATCCAGGAGAAGTTTTAATAACATGTAGTTTAAATTGATCATTTGCAGACATCTGCATGAGTTTGCACAAACTCTCTTCACTTTAAAACATTCTCAAAACTTTATAATATTCCAAAAGAAAAGAAAAAACCATCAACTTTTGACCTGCTGTCTTTCTTGGTTCTGTTTATGTTCTCAACTTGTTCTACTCTATCAAACTCTCCAAATGGGGGGGCCTATGGCCATATTTTCCATCCATGCTCACTCTTCAGAATCCCCTAACCCAAATTTCTTTGCATACAGTCAGTTTATTCAAGTTACACTTGTTCTTAGGTTCATCCTTTCCAACATTTCTGATCATCTTCTCCTTCCTGGGGCTCTCTTTGGAAATGACAGTTACCATTCAAGGGGCATCCTTAAACCACTTTCTATTACATTATTTAATCCTTACATGAATCATGAGTAATCATTTCTGTAAGGGCTATTACATGGTAATATTCATTCCTTATAGAAAAAATAGAAAATACCTGTAAACAAAAGCAAATTGAAATCTCTTCTAATTTTACCAACAGGAGATAACTTTTTGCTAATGTTTGTTAATATTTGGGATGTTTTCTCCAGGCATTTTTTCTGTGAAATTTTGCAAAACATGAGATTTTATATGCTGAGCATACATTTTAGTCTGTCTTTATTTATTAACAATAGATTATGAACCCTTTTCCATGTTAATAAATATACAGCTACAACTTAATTCTTAATGTTTGCACACTATGTTTCTATATGGATATATGACAACTTCCTTACAAATCTATTGTTAAACATTTGAATTAATTCCAATCTTCACTATTAAAATAGCATCTTATAGCTATATCTTTGTGTACATCCTTAATTATTTCTCCAAAATAAATTCCTAAATGTGGAAATGAATTCATACTTCTGCTTTTGACAAATTTCCCCCCCAGAAAGTTTGTACTAATTTAGACTCCCAACAGCCATGTGTGAACAGGGCTATTTCCCTGCACTCTAACCAACATTTGGGTATTAATGTTTTTATTGCCCTGGCTAATTTCATAAGTAGCATTTTATTATTGTTTTAATTAGCTTTTCTACAGTTATAAGTAAAATAGAATATGCTCTTCCATGTTTATTTACCAATTGATTTTTTTCTTTTGTGATTTAAATTGTTAATATTCTTCATATAGTAACACTGGTACATAGAAATAAATATTAACCAGTATTATTATCATCATCATGATTATCATTATAGGTAGCAGCCCTTGTACATTGTAAACAGAATCCCAAATTTTTCATTTCCTTTTAATTTAATCCAATTATATTTTATCAATTTAGGCCATACAGAGGTTTACATTTTCGATATGAATACATTCATAAACTTTGATTTTTACGGTTTCTGCCTTTGATGACATGCTTGGGAAGACCTTTCCCATAATAACATTATATAAATGTTGTTTAAATTTTCCCCTTAGAGTATTTAAATGGTTTCATATTGTATATTTAAATTATTAATACATCTGGAATTTAGTTTCATATAAGGGTGGGATAGAGACTAGTGGGCCTTCACAAAAAGCCAAATGGTTTTTCTACTCAGCATTTTAAGTATTTTTCAAACAGAACAGAACAGGAACATTTTTGAATCAAGACCTGTGAATGGCTACATCTCTGAGTGGAAAGGAATTAATTACCGCATGTCAGAAATCAGCATGGGGCCAGAGCTGTTAAACATACTAATGGCTTGGATGGAAGGAGAGCTGCAAAGCAGGCTGCTAGCTTTTCTCTGTCCAATGGTGATTTAAGAGGGTTACTTACAGCCCAAGATGACAGTGAGGAAAGCCAGACGGCCTTCAGTGTCAGGGAAGGGAGCAGCTTGGTGTCAGCAGACAAAATTGGATCTGGTCATGATCCGTCTGCAAGGCTCTTCTGGGCCCTCGTTGTGCAGATGAGAAAGGGGTAAGAATGGCCAAGACCTTCCCTTCTTGGCCAGGCCCAGAAGGACCACACCCAGAGGCTCCTCTAGGTAATAGCTCAGCAGCCAACTGTGCTGGGGGTTCCCCTCCAACATGGCCGTCTTCTTTGGTTTTGCTCCGTGGATTTCTAGCTTATGCTTCTACTCTCCTACATCCCCCACTCTACTGTTTTCTTCAGAGCACACATTTGATATTAAAACCATTCTTCCCCAGACTTTGTTTCCATGCTGCACGGCTGTCCCACCATCGCATGTCTTTTCCACCTTTAAACTGTTTTTCATAAGGCTATTTTTTCTGAACATAGCTCTTGGTTATTCTATCAGTGAGAAACATAATGCTATTACTTGACAATTATAACTTGCTTTTAATAACTTGCTTCACTTGTCTTTTAATACAAACCTCTGAGTAATCCTGACAGGTAGTTGGGGAAGATCGTGTGGACAAAGCCAAGATCTGAGAAGTTGTTTGTCTGAGGGTCACAGTGACTCAGGAGCAGATCTGAAACTTGACACCAGAGATCTGGCCCAGCTTCAGAGCTCATCCTACCAGCCTCTGTGATCCCTTTCCTACTTAACTTGGTGGTTCTTGGAAGTCCTGTGGTTCAACATAACTCTAATAATTTTCTCTGTCAAAGTTCCATGCTAGGTTGTAAGGGTACCAAGATAACAGAGTCATACTCTGTCTGAGCAGGTTCACACTAGGAGTGACTTTTGCGTATTTTGTCTATACAAAATCAGAGGTGGGCAGAAGGAACTGCTAAACCGTTGTCAGGCTGTTGGTTGGGGAAGGCATCACGGAATACATTTTGGCATGTGGGTTGGGGCCTGTCACACTAGATGACTTTGGCATCTTTAAAGGACATCTGTCATACCATTCTGCCCATTCCCCATCCACACTACAATTTTCCTTCCCCTACTCTCAGTTTGTGCAATATCACCTCCTGGCCACAGGTATAGATTCAGGTGTGGGACCCATGTTATTTCAATGGCATGAAACTCTGGAGTTTTGATAATTCCATTGGAAAAAAAAAAAGATGCTGACTTCCTGCAGGGGTATCTGAAGCTGGTGACCATCTTGTCTTTGAAAAGAGAGAACTCACCTGAGAACAGAGCCCACACAGGAGCAAGTAGAACTGAGAGAGGCAAAGGATAAAACTGAGCCTGTGGGACATTGTCTGGGCTCTGAACACAGCCACCCCGAAAGCAAATACTTTGAATTTTACAGTCTTGTGAGCCAATAGATTCCTTTTCTTATGCAGGTACATCAGTCTGAGTTGGGTTTCTGTCACCTGCAACTTAAAGATCTTTTGACTAACGTAGAGTTCCATTTCAAATCCAAGGCTCTGTGAGTCTTTGGCAGACTGGAGGGCAGACATGGTGTCCAGCTGCCTCCGCACCTAGCTCCTCTGCCTTTCTGGTCCAGCTGCCCAGCATTCATGAAATGATTGGGCCAAAACTGTGCTGCTTTCAAAGATGTAGATTTTTATTCCTTGGTGGTATGAGGTTTCAGACCAGCAGGACTTTAACTCTCCTTGGTCGAGGCAACTATTGAAGCATTTCTGCAGAGTGGTCCAGCTGCTGATATACCTAGGTGAGGGCCACAGATGGTGGCTGCATTAGGCCATTCTTGCATTGCTATAAAAGAATACCAGAGACTGGGTAATTTATAAGGAAAAGTGGTTTATTGGGGCTCATAGCTATGCGGGCTGTACAGGCGGCATGGCACCCGCATCTGCTTCTGGTGAGGGCTTCCGGAAATTCCCAATCATGGCAGAAGGTGAAGGAGGAGAAGGCATATCAGATGGCGAGAGTGGGAGCAAGAGACAGAGGGAAAGGTGCCACAGTCTTTTAAACAACTAGATCTTGCATGAATTCAGAGCGAGAACTCACTCATTATTGTGAGGACAGCACCAAGACATTCATGAAGGATCCACTGTCTTCACGAAAATACCTCTCACCAGGCCCCACCTCCAACAATGGGGATTACATTTCAACAAGAGATTTGGAGGGAACAAACATCCAACTCTATCAATGGCTATCCCATGGGGGTTCTATTGTTTGTCTTGGTAGAACAGCATCCCCTTTCTGTAAAACGATCCCTTCCCTCACTCTAGCCTTGTAGTTTGAGTGGGGCTGTCACAATGTTAGTCACATGTGACCAAACTGATTGGCCTGGAGTAGGTACCTGGCCAAGAATGAGATGAAGAAGAAGTCTCAGATCTTCAACAGTGGAGATCTCTGGGGTCTTTGGTGAGCAGGTACCTTGTACTGTGGAAGAAACAGTGTGAGGAACGAATGAAGTGGCTACAAAGAGAGAACATGGGATGAGGGCTGTGGATATGGGGCAGGCAAAATCAAGTGGTTTTCTACTACTGGAGTAGAAAACTCCTTGAGATTTGTCCTTGAGATTCCACTCTATCTTGGTGAAATTGGTCTCCTAATAAATCCCTCTGCAAATAACCAAGCTAATGTAGCTGAATTAAATACCTGGCATTTGCCATCCAAAGGGTGTTGCACAACTCCTGAATTCTCCAAAGCCATCTTGGCTCCATTTAGCTAACAAGCCACCCACCCATTACATCAGTGGCTCACAGCCCTGCCTCACATTTGAATTACGTAGGGTGCTTTTAAAATACTGTGGTACCCAGACCCAGCTCCAAGGACTTTTACTTAACTGGTCTAGGGGAGGGCCCAAGCATAGTGCGTGTTTTCTTTGTTTTGTTTAGTTTTTGTTTTTTGTTTTTTATTTTTTATTTTTTTGAGACAGAGTTTCACTCTGTCGCCTAGGCTTGAGTGCAGTGGTGTGGTCTCAGCTCACTGCAACCTCCACCTCCCAGGTTCAAGCAATTCTCTGCCTCAGCCTCCAGAGTAGCTGAAATTACAGGTGCCCACCACCATGCCTGGCTAATTTTTGTATTTTTAGTAGACACATGATTTCACCATCTTGGCCAGGCTGGTCTTGAACTCCTGACCTCGTGATCCACCCGTCTCCGCATCCCAAAGTGCTGGGATTACAGGTGTGAGCCACCATGCCCGGCCTGCATAGGGCATGTTTTTAAGCTACTCTGTTAATTCAAGATTTGTAAACCACTGCAGAGATGATCCACTCCCCTGACTTGCCTCTAGAATGGGACATGGGGCACCAAGGTGTGAGGAAAAGACCACTGGGTGATCTTGCTGTCTGAGGGGCTCCGTCCAAGCCCATCTTGGTCATTAATTCTGTGACTATAGGCAAGTCTACTGATCAAGTCTCTGGGTCCCCACCTGTAAAACGGAAAGAATAACTACTATGCTGTCTTCCTCACAGAAGTCTTTTCGGACAAATGTGAAGAACCTAGAACTTTGGGAATCTGGAACCTGCATCTCCCAGAATAGAAATCACACTTTTCATGCTCCTCACACAGGGGAAGAGGATGCCAAGGCTTTTCCACATCATTCCTTTGGAGTCAGAACTGAAATGTTCACAAGGAGAAAAGGGCAACTCCACCTCAGCAGAGGAACACAGCAGAAAATGGGTTTCTGACTGGCTGTTCCCTAGACATGCTTGTTTTGTCATCCTCATTCCCTGCCCCACTTGCGTGCCCGCCCCACCCCAATCAAAGTTCCTGTAGGAATACCTCAAAGATCCCTTGTCAACAGCCAGCTACCCATCAAGGCTACTTGATGATCAAATCAGCCTTTCTAGGCCTTTTCCTAAAGGATTTTAATCTCTGTCCTTGTTCTTCCCTGGATTTTTTTCCACCACTCTTTGGCTTAATAAATGCCTTTCCAGAAGGCTTCAGCGCGGCTGGAAGTATACTTGAACGGCAATTCTAAGTCCTTATTAGCTCTATAGTGATCAGGTGAAGGAATAATTGATCTCAATCAGGAACACCTGGTTTTATAATTGCACAAATGATTATAATTCAATAATAAAAGTCAATTTAACTAACTTAATTCAGATTGCTTTAACCTCTCGCAGACAGTTAAAAAATGAACAAGCAAACAGGAAAGGGAAAAGAAAAGAAAAAAAGAAAAACAAAGCTCTGTCTAAACTACCTGACCAAATAGGGCCAGAATGTAATTGATTCATTTTTCCCCTACATTAGGTAACATGAATTCTCTCTTCTGGGCCTGTGTTCATTAAAGTCTTTCTGTGTCGAATGTCCTTCTCTTCTCTCTGTACTTCCAAACTGTATTCCTTTTTTATGATCAGGCTGAAATACAACCTCCTTTACATTCCGTAGAAAGGTTCTGGGATGGTAGGAGTTGGAAAGACATTCACTTCCCCCATGGGGCTTGAGTGAGATCGGGCCCAAGGGGAAGAAAGTGATATCCATTAAGCAGCTATTATGAGTCAGTCAGACATTATTTCTGGCATTTCAGTCAGTCTTCACAGAGAAAATAGGAAACTGAGGCTAGGCAAGCTTAAGGATTTCCTCAAAGTTTCATAGCCAGATAATAGCAGAGATAGGACTTGAACCCAGGCCTTCCTGATTTCAGAGCCTGTGCTCTTTGCTCCCCACCATGACAGACAATCAGGGCATCCCAGGCCTTTCCAGGCTTTTGGACTTCGGCACGACTTCAGCTACCCTTTTGAGTTTCAGCTGCTGCCACTTGAGTCTGAACCATGAAGAATTTGGCCAAGAGGTTGCCAGTCAGATAAGGCTTTCTCTGTTGGCTTCCACCTCACGGCTATTTGCAGGGGGTGTTGTTAGGAGCCTCAAGAGGTGTGCATAGGGTAGAGGAGGATCTTAAGGATCTACCTCAGCGGTAGCTCTCCCCTGTCTCTCCAACCAAACATTCATTCATGGAGATCAAAGGAGAACATGAAATGCTGGTCTGTGTATCACTTCAACTTTGTGAATCCTAGAGACTGAGCTTCAAGGAGTATGGTCTTGAGATCATAAAGAATGCCTCAGGCTGAGGCTGGGAGATGGAGCAATGCCCCCAAACCAGTTGTTGCCTCTGTCTGCTTTCTGGGCGGGAAGGGAGAGAGGAAGACAGTGAGGGACCTCATTGATCCACCCTTCCATTTACTAAACATTCATGGAGTGCCTGGCAGCCCCTGTGCTGGGGATACTGAGCTGACTGCTGCTGCTGCTGCTGCTGCTATTACTACTACTACTACTGTTTGTTATGAATGATAATAATACCACCTGCCATTCATTAAGAATCAGATACTCTGATAAGGAGATATATGCATTAACCCATTTTCCTTTACAGCCTTCTAAAGTAGGTGCTAGCAGTAACCCCTTTCACAGATGGACAAATTGAGATTAAGAGAATTTAAGTAATTTACCCAGAGTTGCAGAATTTGATAGTGTTAGACAGAGTTAAGGTTTTAGCCCATGAATATGGCTTTAAAGTCTGTGCTTTTAACTTTTCCTCTGCAGAACATCTCTAGTTTGTCTCAAGGTATGGTCCCTGCTCTCAAGGGCTCATAACCTAGTGGGGGATATGGGTGTGCATATGAATCAAAGAATTCTGTATGAAAGGGCCAGTGGAGGCATACATGATCAATGATGGCAGAAATAGGGAGAAACATAATTAACATAATTCTACTGAGACTGGAGTTGGGAGATGATCCAACTGGGAAGACTTCCTGTAAGAGGTGATATTTGAGCTCACCCTTGAACATTCTAGGAAAGATGACAAACATACGTAGTCACAGGCCCAGACTGGGAGAAAGTCTGCAGTGTTCAGAAGCCCCCAGAAATCTGGTGCACTTGATGTGTAGAGCACTGGTGTATGTGCCAGGTGAAGTTGAGACGGCCTGGAGAGATGGACAGTATGTTGTCTTGGACAGTATTCTGCAAAAACAAAAATCCTGGAGAGTAATGAGTAAGGGATTAAAATAATGGACTATGTTTTATCTATGGCCGGAAAGGAGACTGGGCAGACCAGAGGGGAGGGGCTCATCCAGGGAGAAGTAAGAAAGGCCAGAGGGGAAAGAGTGCAGGCAGAGGGTCTCATTCTTTATCCCTGGACAGCTGGTCTGTCTCCATGTAGATGTCCCCTCCCTGGCCTTTAAAGGCTGAGTTCTCAGACAGACCCTGTGCGACACTCTGATACACTTTGACATGAGCTTATTGGCCAGTTTCTGAATATGACTTCTTTTTCTAGAACACATTGGCCCTCATGGATAGTGTTTCTTTTCAGAAGCTGTCACTATAAGCTGTGAAATCTCCTCCACTCCTCAGCTCTTCACTATCCTCCTTATTAAGAAATAATTTGGTTCCTCAAAAAACTAAAAATAGAACTACCATATGATATAGCAATCCCACTGCTGGGTATATATCCGAAAGAAAGGAAATCAGTATGTTGAAGTGATATCTGCATGCCCATGTTTATTGCAGCACTATTCACAATAGCCAAGATATGGAATCAACCTAAGTGTCCACCAATGGATGAATGAATAAATAAATGTGGTTTAAATACACAATGAGATACTATTCAGTCATAAAAATGTATGAAATCCTGTCATTTGCAGCAATGTGGATGGAACTGGAGAACGTTATGTTAAGTGAAAGCAGCCAGGCACAGAAAGACAAATATCTTATGTTCTCACTCATGTGTGGGAGCTAAAAAAGTGGATCTCAAGGAGGTAGAGAGTAGAATGATGGTTACCAGTGGCTGGGAAGGGTAGGGGAAGAAGGGGATGAGGAGAAGTTTGTTGATGGGTACAAAAATACAGTTAGAAGGAGTAAGTTCTAATTTCAACAGTACAATAGGGAGACCACAGCTTTATAGTTAACAATAATTTATTGCATATTTCTAAATAGCTACGAGAATTGGAACATTCCCAACACAAGAAAAGATAAATGTTTGAGGTGATGGATACCCTGATTACCTTGATTTCATCATTAAACATTGTGTACACTTATCAAAATATCACCCCTACCCCATAAATATGTACAACTATGTCAATAAAAAATAAAACATATACAGAAAAAGAAGTAACACATTAATTAATAACAATTAATATATTAAGTATAAAGCAGTAATTTATGTCCATGTATAATTATTAATTAAATAAAGTAATTTATATTAATTCATTGAAAATGCAGGTAAGGGGCCAGGCGCGGTGGCTCACACCTGTAATCCTAGCACTTTGGCAGGCCAAGGCTGGCGGATCACGAGGTCAGGAGATTGAGACCATCTTGGCCAACATGGTGAAACCCCATCTCTACTAAAAAAAAATACATAAATTAGCTGGGCCTGGTGGTGCATGCCTGTAATTCCAGCTACTCAGGGAGGCAGCAGAATCACTTGAACCAGGGAGTCGGAGGTTGCAGTGGGCTGAGATCGCACCACAGCACTCCAGCCTGGTGACAGAGTGAGACTCCATCTAAAAAAGAAAGAAAGAGAGAGAGAGAGAGACAAAGAAAGAAAGAAAGAGAGAGAGAGAGAGAGAGAGAAAGAAAGAAAGAAAGAAAGAAAGAAAGAAAGAAAGAAAGAAAGAAAGAGAAAGAAAGAAGAGAAAAAAAGAATAAAAAAAGAAAATGCAGGTAAGGAAGAATTTTTTTAAATTTCCTGGAAAGTCCGTTTCCCAGAAAAAAACATAGCCATTATTTTGGTGTTTGTTCATTCAGAAGTTGTCCGATGGTCATGTGAAGAGTGTGTATGGGCATACTTTTCTTTCACAAAAATGCAACAGTATTGCAATTCAGTTTGCAGCCTGCCTTTTTCACATGGCAATATATGATGAGCACCTTCCCATGGGATCACATGTAGAATGAATGGTTTCTAAACCTTTGCAAACCTCGAAATCTGCAGCATGGAAGCACATAGGTGATGAAGCATAGGAGATGGCAAGGATCATGGGAAGCAAGCCATAGTATTTGAGCCCTGGTTTTTCCTCCTAGAGCTGGGTGACCCCTCTGAACCTTACCATTTTTATCTATGAACTAGGGATGTTACCACACCCCTACCCAGCAGACCTCGCAGGTCTGGGGTGAGTATCTATGCAGTGGCAGACATAAAGTGGTAGACTCTTAATATATTATTCAAACATAAGAGATCTGTAAAGACTCTGTGCCCCAAATTCCCCTCCTTTTGCTACTGAGAGCTCTTAGATAACATCCCCAAAATCTGAAGATTCCAGGCTTATCCCTGGGGTACCTGCCAGCCAGTCTTCCTGGTTGGTAATAATGAAGTTCTAACATTGGAATGGGGAGGAATTAAATCAGCCTGTCTGACTTGTCTGGCTTGTTTTACCACAATATTTTCCAGTCTTTTGGCTACTATGGGGCCCATGTTCCAAGCAGGCTGGGCATCTTTCACAGCTCCCTCCTCACAGTGGATCTCATCACCCCACGTCTCTGCCAGCTAACCCTGCCAACTTGCTCTTACCTCTGTTGCCTCTTAGAGTTGGATGCTGTCTTCTCTTGCAACAGACCCCTAGAATGTCCTCAATCCTCTGCCCCACCTTCCTGGACTAAGACGACACCACATTTTGCCAGGAGAGGAGGTGGTGTGGCTTTCCAGGGCTTCTTCAGGGCTTCTGATGGTGACTTTCCAGAAAGGCCACCCCAGTGCCCCAGGGCACCCTCTGGTTCTACCCTGCCTCCTCCATATACCCAAAGTGGCATATGGACACTTCGTCGCCAGCAGTGAGGCCCTGAATGATGGCCACCCTCACTTCCCAGGATCCCATCACAGCTGAAGGAGCTGTGAATTGAATTCCAGGCTGTTCCTTCTCTCCCTCCAATCCATTCATTTGCAGTTCCCTCTTCCTGAATCATTCTTCCCCCACCCGACACCCACAACCCTTCCCCATTCCCCAGACTCCCCCTTCCTCATCCTTGAGAACTGAGCTCAGACTGTGGGGCCTTTCTCATCCTGCAGGGCTACTTTAGGTGCTTATAGCCTCAAAGCATCTAGTACTTCTAATTACCACAGCAAATTCTAATTTTCTATTAACTTGTCTCTAAATTATGAGTTCCTTGAGAAGGAGACTGTGTCTTATTTTCTGTTATTGCCTAGAGCTGAACACATAATAGGTGCTTAGTAAATATTTGTGGAATTAATGACTGAACAAACTTAGTATGTCTTAGTCTCACAAGGGTCACTTCAACCCCCTTTTGTGCTTCTGGAGAATTTTTTTGGTAATCTAGAAATCCATCCATCCTTTCTCCTGCAGCTGAGCTATGAGCAAAAAAATCAAGGTGGGCAGACCTGACACTAACCTGCACCTACCCATTTGCCCCTGTGGCCTTCCCCAGAGGAAAAGTCTGATCTGTGACTCACAAGGCCTTGGTCGCCTTCTCTGTTGACTTCCTGACCTATCCTCCCAAAAGCTGCCCGGCCCTCGTTAGTTTCCAAATGAAAATGAATTTTGTTAATGTCCTAAGAAGTTGCTAATATCCCTACATGTAAATAGAGATTTCTGCCCAGATTCTGTTTGGGTATCATCAAAGCTGAGATAGAAGTCACTGAGCTTACCTCATTCATGCATG
Source organism: Homo sapiens (assembly GCF_000001405.40). Lineage (NCBI taxonomy): Eukaryota > Metazoa > Chordata > Mammalia > Primates > Hominidae > Homo > Homo sapiens. Next base: position 99,402,323 of record NC_000009.12, on the reverse strand, counting down.
CATTCTTTGATGCAGTACACATTTTCTGAGTTTCTATAATGCCCCAGGTACTGAGGTAGGTGCCAAGGATCCACATTCCACTGTAGATAGGCTCTCTGCTTTAACAGATCTCACTGTTAAAACAACTTCACCTAAAGCCATTTCTTCTGTTGGTGGATTTCTGTAATGGGCAGTTGGGCTAAAATTCAGCCCATTTGTGTGTTTTTGAAACTGTTTAGATGTCCTGTTCTTTTTGTGCTATCTTTTGGAAGTGGGGGGATTGAAAGATTTATTTTTGTAATGATTCATCTTAGAACTCTTCTTATATCAATTAAGATATACAATCTTTTAAAAATAAACTATGCAAATGTGTGGTAGATGCTCCTGACAGCAAAAACTTAGGCATATCCTGAGAATGACCTTATGGTCTATGAAGAATATGTTCAAAGCTCCAAGCTAAGGAATCTGGGAGTGGCCAACCTGGAGATTCATTTCTTATCTATGAGGAATATCTGAACCTCCGGCCCATTCCATGGAACACAGACCATACAGGGGATTGAGGCCCTTTATTTTGGGTTAAATGAAGTTGTCAGGTGGTGGTTGTTAGGGGGAGGATGCTCATTGAAAATGCTGTGTAAATGGCATGCTTTTTACAAGCAGCAATGGTTCTTTTGTCCAACCTGCCACCACTGGCAGGGGACCGCCCTGTATGTAAGTCCTTTTAATAAATCCTATGTCTCATTGGCTGGCTCCATGTCTCTTCTTCAGCCTCTCGAACATAGTGTCATCCCTACTGAAGTCAATAGGGATTCAGCACAACAGCAAATCAGACTGATGTTCAAAGATTGGAGTTTGTGGTACCAATGGGCTTTCAGTGCCTTTTCAATCCAGTTGCTGGATTCCACTGGCACGAGGAATTCATCTGTGGTTGAAGGGAGGGGTGGTTTTGGAGGGAGTATGCAAAGATGAGAAATGGTTTCCCCTCCTGCAGACCTGAGAGATGGATCCTGAAGGGAAGGTACAGACTAAAAGTTAACGGACCATGTTCATAAAAAAGTGGAAGGCTCTCATCTCATACAGAGCCCACCCTGGAGCTGGGATGAGCCTGCTCACCTCCCTTTCTGTACCAGAGGCCGAGTGTGGTTTTAGCCACACTTTAGGGGGACACATGTCCTTCAGAGGAACTATGTGGAAGGAGAATGTGAGAGGAACCCTGGAGGAAAGGCTGAAAGTGATGCATTACGGAGCAGAGGTGAGGCAGCCCTGTGGACAAGTTGAAACAGCTGGGGGAGGGGCTGCCAAGGTCCTCCGGTTATCCAGGTTGAGGCTGAAGGCTAGCAAGACTTGGGCATCAGTGTCACTGGAATTTTACTTGTGTTCCCAAGATGCTAAGGCCTGAGCATGTTTGGGTTATAAGACGCCCCCAAGAATATAAAACAACCCTATGCACACCAAAATGAATCTTATAGGAAATATAAAATTAAATTTTAAGCTTCCATTGTTAAATTAAGGAAAAGATCATCTTTACAATGTCAAAAAGAAAAAAAAATGAAGCCATGGATGGATTAATAGGCAAATGGATTGTTAAGCGAACTGGTTTTAGGCAACAGATCTTTAGGTGAAGTGATGGAGCTGCTGTTTGCCCTTGATTGCAGTCCTGAGACCACAGCTCCCCCTCTGTTGAGGCTCTTGAACAGGGCTGACTGGTTGCTCCCATGTGAACTCTGCATTGCCAAGGAGAGGAGGCCCAGCCACTTCTGGCAACACTCTGGGCTGGGGCAGGGCAGCCTCCCCCATGATGGCAGAGAGCAAACAAAGGTAGCCACGCTAAGGCTGGGGCACAAAGGGCTGTGTTCCCAATGTGGCCCCTGGACACTGGCCAACCCTCCTTGTCCTCTAGGACTCAGGTCAGAGGCGCAGTATTGCAGGCTGGGAGAGAATGTCTCTGCTCCTAGGAACCTTGGCCTGGGGATCATCAAAACCTCAAGCTGTAAATACCCTTAGGAATTATCTAGTCCAACTGCCTCATTTCCCAGAGCAGTTGCTGGGGCCCAGAGAATGGAAGGAATTTGTTCACTGTCACCGGGAATGCTAGTGACGCAGGCTTCCCCGGCTGGGTTCAGTGTACCACACTGAACCCTGACAAGGGACCCTGGGTTTCCATTTGGTTTATCACGAAAATCAAAATAATTGCATCACTCAGTATTTTCCAGTTACTGGAAAAGTCTAACTTTGTTAAATTCACGAAGCATAAACATTTGCTAATCAAAGTACTTACCCAAATGATACTCAATTAAAGCAATATTAAGGGAAACAAAATGTGTACATGCTACTGACCACCTACGCAGGATTTATATCACATTCCCTTAAATGAGCGTTAAATCAATGGCAGTTCTTACTGGCTGGGACTTGAACAGCAGGGAGTTAGCTGGAGCCTTTAGGAGGATTTGACAGGCAGAGGGAAAGGTGCACCACTGTCAGGAGCCAGGAACTCCAGCTCCTCCCTTGGCTCTGCCACTCCAGGGCCCAATGACCTGAGGCAAGTCCCCAGCCTCTCTGAGCTTCAATATCTTCAGCCTTGAAATGATGCTTGAAATGATGCTCCCCGCCCAGCCTGCCCACCAGGGTTATTGCAAGGACAACATGAGGTGGTCCCTTGAAAATTGTGATGTTTAATGCAAATCAATGTTTTCCAGATGCTCTCAAGCTGGGCCAGTGGCCAACTGCAGAACGGAGAGTGGCCGAGCAGGGAAGGTCATAGAAGGCACAGGATGGGGAAGGACACTGGAGACCAGGTTCCTGTAGGGTAAGTTGTAATCACTGGAACCACTGAGCCTGGAGAAGGTGAGATCTTTCCGAAGGGAACGGAAAGTGGAGTCAGTTGGATCTGGGATATCTGGGTCTTCCCGGCCACGTGGCCTTGGGCAAGTCATGTGAGTTCTCTGGGCATGTAAAATGAAGATGAAAATATGCATTTTGCAAGGCTATCATAAATATTAGTAGTAATAATAACAGGCAGATACTGAGTGCTTATCATATCTTAGATACTATTCCAGGTGCTAAGTCTGTACTAACTCATCTAAACCTCACAACATCCCCGAGTCCGATGTCATCCCTATCCCCATTTTACTGATGAGAAAATGTAGGTAAAAAGAGGTTCAATAACTTGCTCAAGGTCATATGGCTACAACATGTTAGAACCAGACTTGGCACTTAGGCCTCTGGCCCCAGAACCTATATATTTAACCTCTCTGCAGGCCATATTAATGTCCTGTGGCTATTGTAACAAATTACCACAAGCTTCGTGGCTTAAAACAACACAGATTTATAAGCTTACAATTCTGGAGATTAGAAGTCCTAAATCTAAGGTGCTAGCAGGGCTGCATTCCTTTTGGAGACTCCAGGGAGAATCTGTTTCCTTGTCTTTTCCAGCTTCCAGAGACCACCTGCATTTGTTGGTTGATAGCCTCTTCCTCGAATCACCCTGATCCTCTGCTTCTGTGGCCACATTTTCATCTCTCCAAATCTGAGTCTTCTGCCTGTCTCCTCTAGGGACCCTTGAGATGACTTTGGGCCCATCCAGATCATCCAAGATAATCTCCCCTTCTCAAGTTTCTTAATCACTTCGGCAAGGTCTTTTTTGCCACATAAAGTAATATTTGCACTGGGTTCAGGAATCAGGATGTGGGCATCTTTGTGGGGGGAGTCACTATTCCACCTACCACACAGAGCCCCTTCAACAAGTGAGATTAGATGAGAAAATGTTGGTGAAGCACTGAGCCCAGAGATAGAGCATAGTAGGTGTGGATGCTGGTGATAGTGAAGGGGTGAATGGCTGACAAAGACCAGGTGACTAATTTCACAGCTGCCAGAAATCAGCCTCCAGGGACACACAAGGAGCTTTGCCACACGCTGAATCAGATAAGGCCTCTGACTTTGTTTTGCCCCAGAAGCAGACCTCAAGAAGAGGACTCCAGTGCAAGTAGTTTATTTAGAAGGCAAGCCCACAAAAAGTGGGAAAGCGAGACAGGCAAGGCAAGGCAAGGAAACCAATGGAGAATGCCATGAAGCTAGTTACCACCATAGGCAGGTGGAGCTTAATCCCACTGGGGAATTGTGGAAAACAGTGTGGAGCTCTGCACCTCAGAGTTAACCTACCTGAGAGGTGACAGGGCTGGGGTATGGATGCACCAATTCCCTTCAGTCTGTTGCAAGTTGTTCCAGGGAGGGGGAGAGTGGAGTTAATTCACCTACACACCCATCTGCACACACATATATAAAGCAGGCTCTGCTATTTACAATAGCAAAGACTTGGAACCAACCCAAATGCCCATCAATGATAGACTGGATAAAGAAAAGGTGGCACATATACACCATGGAATACTATGCAGCCATAAAAAAGAATGAGTTCATGTCCTTTGCGGGGACATGAATGAAGTTGGAAATCATCATCCTCAGCAAACTAACACAGGAACATAAAACCAAACACTGCATGTTCTCACTCATAAGTGGGAGCTGAACAATGATAACACATGGACATAGGGAGGGGAATATCACACACTGAAGCCTGTCAGGGGGTGGGAGGAAAGGGAAGGGAGAGCATTAGGACAAATACCTAATGCATGCAGGCCTTAAAACCTAGATGATTGGTTGAAAGGTGCAGCAAACCACCATGGCACATGTATACCTATGTAACAAACCTGCACATTCAGCACATGTATCCCAGAACTTAAAGTAAAATAAAATAAGTAATGATAGAAAAAAAATTAAAAAGTAAAGCAGGCTCTGATGGCCAGAGAATGCCTACCTGCAAATATCCATAGGTGCTGGCAACTGGAAGTCTGGCTGCGTGCACTGAAATGGCAAAGATAGGGGTGCTGCGGCCAGGTACTGGTGGTGTCTGCTACCCCACCTTGAGCCTATAGTCTTCATTTCTTGTGGACACTATCCACAGGCCAAGATAATGCAGAAAGATGAGAAAATCAAGGAGTCAGCGTCTGCCCAAAGTGAAGGTAAGAGGATGGCTTGGAATTCACAGCTGGCAACTGAAGCTGTTGAAAGACATCACCTTAATGTTGCTCTCCAGGGCTTGCAGCCCTCTTAGGACAGGTGCTGTCTGCAGGGCGGCCTTGCGGTGACAGTGGTCGCCCCGCTGAATCCCCAATGCTGTCTTATATTGCCACTTTCCTGGGAGGCTGTCATCCATCTCTGATTTAGACTACCCCGAGGTCTTACGGTTAAGCTGTTGAGTAGGTTTTGTCATTCTGTATTATTTTCCTTTGTACTTTTTGTTCAGGAAGGTTCCTGGCTGTCTTTGGTGTAGTTTGTATCATATCTTCCAATAAAATAAACACATCTCTCTATAACCTGCCATCCATGCATCGTCACCCCTCTTCCTTTCCTCACCCCGGTGCAATCTGGCTTTTCCCCTGCCTCTCTGGGGAAATGGCTCTCCCTAAGGTCACCAATGGATTCCAAATTCCCAAACCTAATGGAATGTCTTAGTCAAGCTCCAGTCAGCTTTTGATGCTGTCAAATGCTGCAGTGCTGGCTGGTGTTTCCCCCCATTCTCCCTCCTTGAGGCTCTGTATTTCCTGGGTTTCCATGCATGACACTTCACTGGTTTGCTGGCTGCTAGACTATTTCTGTCCCCTTCACTGAGTTATCTTCCTTTGGTTGTCACTTAATGTCAGTTCCCATGGGGTTTCAGCATTGTCTCTCTTCTCTTCTCCCACTTCGCACTCTCCTGGGGTGATCTCAGCCAAATCCACAGATTCAGTGGCTATTCACCTACAATGCCCAGATCCCCAGCTGTCCCCCAAGCCACCCTCCTGACACCTAGATCCAAATGGTCCTCCCCCCCTCGCAGGTCAGTTCCACATAAATGTCACATTCAACAGGCTCAAATCTGACCTCATCTTCCTGGGAAAACCAGCTCTTCCTCCCGCATGGCCCATCTGGGTGAATGGTACCCTCCCATCCCCATCGTTGTCAAGCCATATTGGGGCCTCATCCTAAGTCCTACCTCTCCTTCATCTGCCACATCAAGTCCCTTATCAGTCATATCTTTGTTATTTCCCCTTAACCAGCTCCCACCTGTCCTCTGCTGCCCAGGTCTCTCATCTGTGGTTCAGGCCTCCACTGGCCAGGGCAAGAGTTTCCCAGCGTGTTCTTCTGTAGCTGGGATCAGCCAGGATCATCTAATCACAATCCTGTCATTTTACAGGGCCAGAAATTTGCCTGCTGAGGGGAAGGTGCAGGCTGGGTACCCAGGCCTCCTGGCCCATGATGAAATGGAGGTTGAAGCCAGACAGGCCTGCGCGCAAAGCCTCCCTCCCCTCTGTGCCAACCTGTGTTAGTTTCCAGTTGTTGCTATAACAAATTACCACCAACTGGCCTAACACAACACACATTTATTATCTTACAGCTCTGGAGCTCAAAAGTCCAAAATGGGTCTTACAGGATTAAAATCAAGCTGCCAGTGGGGCTGGTTCCTTGACGGGGCTCGAGGAGGAAACATGCTTTCTTGCCTTTTCCAGCTCCTAGAGGCTGCCTGCATTCCTTGGCTGGTGGCCCCTCCCACTCCAGTATCACCCCAACCTCTGCTTCCATTGTCGTGTCTGTTTCTCTGACTCTGGCCCTCCTGCCTTGCTCTTGAAAGGATCCTTGGATTACATTGGGCCCACCCAAACAATCCATGAAAACCTCCTCATCTGAGGATCCTTAACTCAGTCACCCCTGCAAAGTCCCTTTTTAAATAAGTTTTTGGGATTAGAATGTGGACATTTTAGGGGGATCATTATTCAGCCTACCCTCCTAGCTGTGCCCCCTAAGAAAGTTGCTTAACCTCTCTGAGGTTCTGGTCTCTCATCTATAGAATGGGAGTAATTTTTTCCACCCACAGAGATAGAGTGAGGAACAAAGAAGAGAATACATCTCATGTCCCAGCCTCTTCCTCCCAGTCCTCATTGGTGCTAGCTAGGATAGGATCAGGATCCAGCTATCCTCCCTACAACTTCCAAGTTTCAGGAATCTTCTCTAAAACTTCAACTGTCATTTGTCATAGGAAAGAGATGCCATGCTAGTCTGAATCTACTGGGACAGCTCTGTATCTGAGGCCTGGGTGCAAGGCAACTTGGCTGCTGAATTAGGGAAGAGATAAAAGAAGAATAAGAATGGTCTGTCTTATTTTTTTAAGTTGTAAGAACATATTTAATGAAATAATGAATAATGATATTTTGGCTCTAATATTATGAAAATTTAAACTTTGATTATGCATAGCAAATACTTTTATTTATCCATTTTGTAAGAACAATTTTTTACAGGTAAAAATTATTTTAATTTTTAACTATAACAGAACATTAAAAATTATCAATAAACTTGAAACCTTGGTGAAATGGATAATTTTCTTCTCTTTCTTTCTTTTTTTTTTTTTTTTAAATGAAAAAGGAGTCTTGCTCTGTTGCCCAGGCTGGAGTGCAGTTGTACAATCTTGGCTCACTGCAACCTCTGCCTCCCAGGTTCAAGCAATTCTCCTGCCTCACCTTCCCAAATAGCTGGGGCTATAGGCGTGCACCACTACGTCCAGATAATTTTTGTATTTTTTTTTTTTTTTTGGTAGAGATGGGGTTTCACTATATGTTGGCCAGGCTGGTCTCCAACTCCTGACCTCAGGTAAACCATCCGCCTTGGCCTCCCAAAGTGCTGGGATTTCAGGCATAAGCCACCATGCCTGGCTGATGAAATGGATAATTTTCTAAAAGAAAAAAAAAATACAAACCACCAAGGAGAAGTAGAAAGCCTAACTAGATTAATTTTCACAGAACAAATTGAAAAAAATTTGCCAGTGTTCTACTGTTCCAGTGTTGCTGGTACATCAAAAAAGGTTTTATCTACTTTCATCTAACCTAGCACTGCAATAATTTTAACCCAGCACTGCATTAATTTTTTGATTTTTTAAATTGCACTGCACTAATTTTAACCTAGCACTGCATTAATTTTTTTTTATTTTTTAATGGAAAACTAAAAATGGGATACATTTATTATGTACAACATTGTAGTGCCCCTCAACGGCTTTCTAACTATCCAGAGAAACCCAGCGGGAGATGATCTCTCTTTTCCTCCTGCCATGATTATGTCTGGATGACAAGTCTGGCACTCCTGTAGCTGTCTTGTCAGGAGCCTGAGTACGAAGCCAGCCTGAGGATAGCAGAGAGGTGGAAAGAGCACAGGCTCTTAATGATCCCCATGATTAAGTCAACTAAATTTGATGCCTGCTTTACCCTAGAATTCTGATTTTTAGAGAATAAATTATTAGAGAATAAATCTTCTTTATTGGTTAAGCCTATTTCCCAACATTTGCTGCCCAAAGCATTCAAACTGATGTGGTAGCTGTGTGACCTTGGATAAGCCTCCTAACCTCTCTAAGCTTTATCATAATCCACGCTTTCACACTCATTATGAGGATTAAGTGGAAAAGTACATACAAAAGTATATTTCAAACAAACTATATAGTGCTGGACAATTTAGGCTATTATTATTATCACTTTGAGCTTTGGTCAATGTGCATTGGTTAAATTGAGTCTATTTAACAAAATTCTTTATATCATGGATTTAGTCAAATTTACTTTATTCTAATCTGTTTTTTAATTGACAAAATTTGGATATATTTGTCATGTTTTGCTCCTTGATGGTTTACATCATGGATTTGTTCACATCTCTGCCCTACTTTGACCCAGTAACTTCAGCTGCATGATTGCAGAGCTGTGCTAGCATGAGGACAATGCACAGGTCTTTCCCCCCTCGCTCTGCCTTGCCCAACTTCAAATGGGTCTCCTACAAGGAAAGGGAAGTGGCCGAAGTTTGTGTCATGAGAAAAAATGCCCCAGGAAGGAGAAACAAGGCAGTCTTCCAAGTCTCCCTTGAAAAATAAGAGCCCAGGAATACCTGAGAAGAAGTCTAAATGGCCCAAACCCCACGGGCTGCCCCATGGCTCCCAGGTGCCGAGGCTTGCTCCGCAGTTTCGCTTCATCTGTGCCTCTCAGTCAATACATTCCTCTGGGGGAAAATTGTAGTTCTGAGGATTTCCAAATAGCGCCTAGGCCATCTGTTCCTTCTGAGTATCTCCTCTCCTTCAGCATAAGGAAACTCTAATTGGGGGAACCTTTGCCCTTCTCCTTTTCGCTTTTTCTATGAACATGTGCAGATGAAGACAGACCGCAGCATCTCTGTTCATCTGTAGTCAGATCTCTCGACACGATGCACAGATCAGGCAGGAAGGGCTCAGGGACTTGAAGAGGCATGGGCAGTGATACCAGAGGGAATATACCCTGCTTTGGGATGGTTCTGGCAGGTGACTTCAGACTGCTCCTTGAAAGATGGAGAGATTGGGATATAGGGAGACTGAGGGGAGGAAGATCTTGCAGGTAAAGGGACCAGTATGAGGGTGAGGAGGTGAGGCCACTCAGGTAGCTTGTAGTTCAGCATTGATTAACAAATGCTGGTCTGTGGACCAGAATCAACCTGTGATAGCTTTTCTCTGGTTCACAGTAAAAGTGACAAAAATAAGGACAAAGAGTATGTTTTAAATAAAGATAATTCATTCAACTTGAAGTTTTCTTTTTTATTGTTTTGAACATTAAAATGCCTTTCCTTTTATAAAACGATTGTTATCATCAAGCATAACCATGGGAGCCATGGGTATTTTCCTAACTGTTCCTCTTCTCTCACCTTCCAGGCGTGTGGGAGGATTACTCTTCCTGGCCCTGTTTAAGTGAGGTCTGGCCAAGTGATTTGTCTTCACAAATGAAAGAAAAGTAAAAAGAACATGTCACTTCCAGGCAGAATGTCTGAAAGCCAGTGGACAGTCTGCCTTGATCCATTGTCCTGCCTCAGAGGTCATGGAAATATATGTCAAGACTCAGTCGCTGTCAGCCTGGATTCCCCAGTGACTACAACACTGCCAACCTCCCTGGGCATGTAGGGGGAGAGAAAAATAAGCTTCCATTGTATGAAGCTAAGAGATCCGGAGGGTTATTTCTTCCTGTAGCACACTCTGACTAATAGAGTAGCTAGCAGCTAGGAGGTTTTTAAATATCTTTATTTAGCAAAATGAAATGGTGCCAATCTTACGTTGATATGATTTTTTTTTCTTTTGATATTTAATTGCCCCGGGAAGTATGATGCCTTGGACATTCTGACACTGATAACTGGAGTGTGGGGAGGTGTCCGGTTTAACACGGGTAATAGTTCTCAGGACAGGGGCCACAATATGGGACCCCTCAGCCCCAATTCAACCAGAGTCACACCTGTTTTATCTGCATAATGAATAAATGAACAAGCATACTGGGGTCTGCACAAGATTTCACATCAGGAAAGGGTTTTATAGCTGAAAAAGAAAAAGTTAAAAGTTGTGCAGCAAAGACTATGCTAAGCCCTGGGAATGTGGTAAAGAATGAGACAGACACAGGCTGCATATTGGCTATGACTTTCAGCTTTGCGGGGCATGGAGAGGCCGAAAGGGCAGACAAAAGACAAGTCAACTAATTAATTAAATAACTGAAAGTAGAAACACTCTATGTAGGTAAGATATGGGGACTGAAGTAGAGATTAACAGGAGGTGGCAGGCTGGTAAGATCTCTTGTCAGAAGGTAGTATTTTAGTTGCAACCTGGAGGATGGAAGGGCTACCAGGCAAAAAGGTGTGTAACCTGTTCAAGAGGCTGAAGGCTTGCATAGCAGGAGGCAGGGCTGAGAAGGAGAGAAGCAGGAAATAAGTTGGAGGGTCCACAGGAACCTAATAAGCAGGCCCTCACAAGCCACAAGGAGGTAAGCAAAAGAGAGCAGCAGTGGATGACGCTGCCTTGCCCATGTCTACTTAATAAACACTCAGACTTGATGCCTTCAAAGCAGAAATCCTGATGTCCACTCTCTTGCTCTCCCCGTCTGCCTCTCCTCCTACCTTTCCCATCTCATAAATGGCAGTTTCATTTTTCAAGTGACTCAGGCCCCAAACCTTGAGATCCCTTTTGCCTCCATGCCTAATCCATCAGGGAATCCTACTGGCTCTGCCTCCCAAATGTACCCTGAATTGGACCACCTTTCACCACCTCAGGGCTATTATCCTTGTCCAAGATGCTAGCATCTCTTATCTGGACTTTTGGAGTAGCCTCTTCACTGGCCATGCTGCTTCCACTCTTTATCCTGAATCCTTTGCTCTACACAACAGTCAAAGAGATCTCTCAAAACACATAGTCAGACCATTGTCTACTCCAAACCTATGACGGCTTTACACCCCACTCACCATAAAACCAAGGTCGGTACCTGGGCCTTCAAGTCCTCCATGGTCTGGCCCTTGGGCAGCTTTCTTATCTCATCTTTGTTTCTCCTCCCCTTGCTCACTCAGCTGCAACCCTGTGTACCTTCTTGATGTTTTTGTTTGTTTATTTTTGTTTTGTTTTGTTTTTCGAAACAGGGTCTCACTCTGTCACCCAGGCTGGAATGCAGTGGCACATTCATGGCTCATTGCAGTCTTAACCTCCTGGACTCAAACAATCCTCCAATCTCAGCCTCCTGAGTAGCTGGACTACAGGTGAGTGCCACCATACCCGGCTAATTTTTTGTATTTTTGTAGAGACAGGGTTTTGCCACATTGCTCAGGCTTGTCTTGAACTCCTAGGCTCAAGCAATCCATCCACCTTGGCCTCCCAAAGTGCTGAGATTACAGGTGTGAGCCACTGTGCCCAGCCCTTCTTGATGTTTTTAAACATGCCAAGTGGCATGGTTTTGTGGCGTGGTCTTTGCATTTGCTGTTTTCTCTCCCTGAACCCATTTTCCTCAGTTAACTGTTTCTTGTGGTTTGCTCTCTTTCATTTGGCTCTTTTATTCATGGTCATGTTATTGGCGTGCAAATCTCTAGAAACACCTTTCATCATTTTAATCTCCACACCTGTTTATTTTTCTTCATGACACGAATCGTCACCTGACATATTTTATGCTTATTTTTTCTGGGCCATAGGTTGGCAAACTTGTCTTATAAAGGGCCAGATGGTAAATATTTTAGGCTTTGCAGGCCATACGGTTGCCGTCACAACTACTAACTCTACCATTGTGGTGTAAAACCAGCCATAGACAGTAAGTAAAATAAATGAGCATGGCTGTGTTCCAATAAAACTTTATTTACAAAAGTAGGTGGCAAGATGGATTTGACCTATAGGCCATAATCTGCCAACCCCTAGTTTAAGCATTTGCTGTCCACTTCCTAAAATGCCAGCTCCAGGAGAGTAAGGATTTTGTCTTTTTTGTTCAATACTCTCTGGAGCAACTACTAATGTGCCTGGCACATGGTAGGCAATCCATAAATATTTATTGAATTAATTAATTGATTAAAGAATAAGCTCTTGGGAGACCTTGATTATAAGGGCTTGGCTAAGGAGTTTGGATTTTCTTCTTTATAGAAGTTTGAAAAGAGTCTTCGCTAGTTTTAACAATGTTCATGACTGCTGATTGACAGCTCTTATCTGCAGTCTGCAATTCTCAGAATGAAGACATTTTGAGACAAATAACAGCCGCTTGCTCGTCTCACTGTTTACTCCTCTTGTAAGAGCACTGTATGATGCACATCACACATTGAGTTGGATGTGTGATGATGCATCAGACTGCTGCCAACAAAAACACATCGAAATAAAATAATCATCTCTGCAGAGGCCCGGGAATGACACTCCAGACATTCCATGGAAATCAAGGAGGCTGCTGCAGTTCTGCAGGAGACAGGATCGAGGACCCATCATAATGCTGGGTGTGGGGAAGCACACAGGTCAGGGCAGGATTAAATGAGTGGCAAGACTGAAAGAGTTGTAAGGAGACAGGTTAGCTTGGGCTGGCTGGAGGGAGTAGGTGGAGACAGATAAAAGCATGAGTCATTTTCTGGGACTTGGTGAGCCAAGGTGTGGGATTGGCCAAGAGTGGGATGTGCTCCTGAATTCTGAAGAACCCAGTTAGAGAAAGTATTTTCCTTGAGGAGAGGTAGGTTGGATATGCAAGTCTGGACTGTGGACAGCCTCGAAAGCCAGTTTGGGGCCAGGTGTGGGTGGTGGCTTACGCCTGTAATCTCAGCTCTTTGGGAAGGTAAGCCAGGAGGATCACTTGAGCCCAGGAGTTCGAGAGTAGCCTAGGCAATGTTCCCCTCTAATTACAATGATTACTTTTTATCTTAGCACTGGGCTGCCTAGAACTGAATCACAGCTCTGCCACTCGCTAGCTCTGTGGCCTTTGACAAGTCCCTTAGCCTTCTTGGGCCTCTGTTCCTCATTAGCAAAATGGAGGATAACAATAATACTTTTCTCGTAAGGTCACTGTAAGGATTTAATATATTAAAATATGTGATATATTTAAAACACTTCCTGGAATATAGTGAGCTCTATATAAGCAATGGCTATTATCATCATTATCAATTTTACTGTTACTACTATGTTTATGCTATGTGTGCCCATATCTTATCTGCTATAATAGATTTGAGCCTTTGAAGGCAAGAACTGTACCTGATTCATTTTTCATTTTCCCCAGTGAGTAGTAAAATGCATTCACATAGTATGTGCTCAATAAGTATTTGTGAAGTTAATAAATAAATGATCAAATTAATGAATGAATGTAATCTTTGGAATGGGATTTAACTATGGTGCTGCAAATAAAGTATTATTTGTATTCAAGGATACTCTGATTTTTAGAAAGAAAAACAAATGATGTGGATAATGACAGGACCCTAAGAACTTGAGTCAGAAACATGGGACAAGGCCGGGCATGATGGCCCATGCCTGGAATTCCAGCACTTTGGGAGACCGAGGTGGATGGATCACTTGAGCCCAGAGTTTGAGACCAGCCTAGGCAACATGGTGAAACTCCGTCTCTACAAAAAATACAAAAATTAACCAGGGGTGGTGGCATGTGCTTGTGGTACCAGCTACTCGGGAGGCTGGGGTGGGAGGATCTCTTGAGCCCAGAAGGTGGAGGCTGCAGTGAGCCATGATTGCACCCCTGCACCCAAGCAAGACTCTATCTTAAAAAAGGAAAGGAAAGGAAAGGAAGGAAGGAAGGAAGGAAGGAAGGAGGAAAAGAAGGAAGGAAGGAAGGAAGGAAGACAGGGCAAATCCTACAGAATGTATTTTCTTTTTCTTTCTTTTTTTTTTTTTTAAGACGGATTCTCATTTTGTTGCCCAGGCTGGAGTGCAGAGGCACAATCACGGCTCACTGCAACCTCTGCCTCTCAGGTTCAAGCAATTCTCTGCATCAGCCTTCTGAGTAGCTGGGATTACAGGTGCCCGCCACCATGTCTGGCTAATTTTTTTGTATTTTTAGTAGAGATGGGGTTTCACCATCTTGGTCAGGCTGGTCTTGAACTCCTGACCTCATGATCCACCCGCCTTGGCCTCCCAAAGTGTTGGGATTACAGTTGTGAGCCACCACACTCGGCCAGCATGTATTTTCAAAACCCAACTCTGTGCCTTCATTTTTCCATTGGCAAAATAAGAAAGTTTGATTAAATTATCTTAAACGTCCTATATGGTCCTAAAGTTCTATTATTGGGAATCACTAGATTCTCAAGAGTCTTGTTTTTTGGTGACTACATCATTTGGAATTTCCTAGAAAAATGAGCGGAAGAATTTCTTTAATTGAAAAATGCTTCCAAAGGACTCCTAGTACTAGGATGTAGAGAAAGATCTTATCAAATATAGTGAGAGCTTGAGTTAGAGGTGGATTCTTTGTTTCCTCATTTTAATTAGTACTAACATATCAAGAAGAAAAATTATTCTATCTACATGAGCCACATGTGCCCCAAAGACACAGGAAGCTTGCAAACAGGGACCAGGCCTGTTCAGAAGTCCCTGGGAAAAAGGACAATGAGAAGCACCAGCAAAATGAATACAAATTCACTTGGGAGTCACTGACCCTGCTGAATAAGTGGTTTGGCAGAGTGAGCTGTGCTGCTGCAAATCTTTTTGGGGCTCAGTGTAAAGGGTGAAGACTCTGACTTTTTTTTTTTTTTTTTTTTTTGAGATGGAGTCTCACTCTGTCACCCAGGCTGGAGTACAGTGGCACGATCTCAGCTCACTGCAGCCTCCGCCTCCCAGGTTCAAGCAATTCTCCTGCCTCGGCCTCCCAAGTAGCTGGGAATATAGGTGTGTGCCACCATGCCCAGCGAATGTTTTGTATTTTAAGTAGAGATGGGGTTTCACCCCATTAGCCAGGATCATCTTGATCTCCTGACCTCGAGATCTACCTGCCTTGGCCTCCCAAAATGCTGGGACTGCAGGCATGAGTCACCAACCTGGCCAACTTTGGCTTCTAAAGATGCCTTGAGACAATGGCAGAGGGAGATCTAGACCAGATGGCCCTGTCTTCTAGGTCTCACTCAGCATCTTCTCCAACTGCCTGTGTGGCTATCATTTGTGTTATTGGATGTTAAATTCTCCAAAGATTGGGCTTATTTGTCTGAAGACTCACTAGCGTCTAGTAAGTGCAAAACAAATATTTGTTGAATGAATGAATAAATGTTGGTTAAGCCTTAAAGTCTGGCTTTGGGGAATGGTGAGGTGAGAGAGGAGGTGTCGTGGGTCCTTTAATTTCCAGGTTGTGTGGTGGTAACCCGATGAACAGTTATTTCCGGGTTAAAAGAAATTATATGTGTAGTTACCAGATAAAGGCAAAGCAACCAGCACATGTTCTTCCTTCTTCTCTCTTGACTCCTTCTCAGTCACCTTGGGCTGAGAGTAGAGTCCTGAGGGCAAGGAGCCTAAAGCTGTAACACTGGCACAGTCTGTGGGTTTGCCCATCGCTGAAGGAAGTGCCTGGGATATCGGGTGGCTGGTAGCTCGGGATAACAAAAGCCATGAGGCAGACACGGCTGATTTCTGTTGGGGTTCTGCCTCTCCTACACAAACCCTGCAGCATGTGATCTCCCCCAAAAGAGCCCTGTGCTGGGTTGCTGGGTTCTGGGCAGGGAGAGGGAAGCTAGATTCCTCCTCAACAGATGTCACCATAATTAGATAACTCATTATATCAAGGAATAAGGAAGGGAGATCAACATGGATACAAATGCAAACATATTGATAGCTTTTCTGCATGTGAGTTTGTGCAATCTGGGAAACTGATTTCCTGGACAAGGCTCAAGGGATGAGTCAGCGGTTGGAGCCTGGGGAGATTTTCCACAATGAAATTCTAGTCCCAGGAAAGTATCCTAAGAGCTTTCCACCCTGTAAGATCATTCCCAGGGGCGGCCACGGCTGGAAGCCAGTGTGGGTGTGTGCCTATGTTCGGGAGAAGCCCAGCAGGGAGCCAGAGCCTGGGGGTTGGAGGAGGGCAGGGGACACAGGCATGCTGTGAGTGAGGCAGGCTGCATGGGCCATGGCTGAAGCTGATGCAGCATACCCCATCCACGAGGGCTGCCCCTGCCTGTGGTGACAGCCCTTGGAACTGACTAACAGCAGGAACAGGCTCCTGCCATCTGAGTTTGAAGCCTCCCTGGGGAGGTCCCCAGGGTCCCCAGGCTGGGATTAAGTGTCTTTCGCAAGTGTTCCCATATGACCCTGCTCATTCTGTTGGAGCACCCATTGTTCTATCATGGATGTGCCTCTTTTCCCTGTGGCAAAATGTGTGCCATGGACTACATGATCTTTTCCAGTTCGAACATTCTAAAGATGGATATGCCTAAAAAAAAGAAAAGAAAAGAAAAGAAACTGAATTGACATCGAACACATGGCCGCTCCTTGGCTGAGCATTTCGCATCTATCATTTCCAACAACCTCCTGCTGTGGACCTTGCAGTTTTCAGGGGGCAGTGATGACTTAAACCACTTATGCCTTCTGAGATCCCAGAGCAACCCAGGCTCTTTCCCTATGGTCTGGTTAGCAATGTGTACTTAGCACTTTTCTCCTACAGGAGACTTAGGGAAGTGGAGGGTGTGAACAGGGAGAGCTGCTCCTGCAAGAGTTCCTAATGCGTGCTCCTCCCATGCCTTCATTCTCCATTCCTGCACCCCAGGCATTTCATCTGGGGTTCCCAGACATCATCCATTCCTTTCTCCCCATCTTCACCCCAGCATCTAACACACAGTGAATGACCTCTCCTATCTTACAGAGCAAATAGAATCAACAGGAAGGGAACTCCCTCATCTTACTGCCATGGAAGAGGTGCCCCACCTCCTCCCTAAGAACTTCCCTGGTGGCTGAAACCCACCTCACACTCGGAGAGTCGTGGTCTATCCTTGATTGCATTTCTTGAATCTCTCCTTTCCTCTGCCCCCAGCCTAACCTAGCCCCTCTAGACTTTCCTCTGGGCAATTATGATATACCCCACCATCTCCCCAGTGGTCTTTCTGCCACTACTCTCTTCCTCATTCTGGGCCTTAGATTTCCCACCCACATCTCACACACCTCCTGAACCTACAGAAAGACCTTTCAGCTGCTTGAAGCTGGCACTCATAGATCTTGGTATGAGTCCCAGGGAAAATCCTTTTTTGGTACCCAAAGTCCATAAGCAGATAACACTATCCCAAAGTACTTGAAGCAGATAGGCTTTAAATATAAACGCAGAAGTCCTTAGTTGTTTATGTTTAGAAGCCAGTGCTATGTGTGAGACATTAAAGATATGGCAGGCTTCTAGCTATACATTCCTAAAGAATTGGTGGTCACTATAGCCCAGAGAGTCCAGGCCTCAATGAGAGATGACTGTCAATAAAAGGTAGGTCTATGCTCAGCTGGTCACATAAAACAGCCAGTGACCGCTGCTCCTGAACAGCCTGCGGCAATGACACCTGGTCCTGCTACTATTGCTCCTGCTGACCGGAAGGCCACCTGGGCTGGGAGACAATGCAGAGGGCCCCCTTTCCTCAGGGATTAGATATAGTCAGACTGTCTCCACTTTCCACTGGAGTCATTGGCCCCAAACCTGCTTAAAGGCTGGGAAACACTGACACCCCTTGCCTAGGAATCCACTTTCTTCCTATTTGGTCTTAGGGAAATGAGAGGCAGTGTTAAAACTTTCTGGACAGTGTTTTGTTCAGGCCTTGTGAATCTGTGTAAAAGTCCATTTAGAGGACCTGTTTGTATTTGTAGCTCCAACTCTGGAACCAGAAGGTCAGTCTTTAACAGATGAATGCCGACTGTCCATCCCCTTTCCAGCATTGTCTCCTGCTCGTTCTGTATGGCGACTCTCTTTCCCTAGACATGCACCATGCTTCTTTCTTCTGTTTCCCTTTATGGCCAACTCTGACCATCCAGTAAGGACCCTTTCAAACTTCACCTTTCCAGGCAGCTTTCTGGGCTTTGCCTAGCATAGTATCTCTCACAGTCCCGTGCTATCCAGTCAGCACGCTCTACTTTCTATTAGAGACATTGTTGTGCTTGTCTTGTCTCTCCGTCTACTCAGGAATTTTTCCAAGAAACAAATCAGTCTAAGTCGTGGAGCACATCCTCTGGGCCCCAGCATGATGTCGACTGCATGTAACTTGCTATGGAAGGAGTATATTGTTTCCTGGCACTTACTAGATACCTTATATTCATTATCTTTCCAAAGTTAATCTTTTCAAAGCCTTGACAGGGATATCATCCCATTTTGCAGATGGTAAAACTGAGGTTCTGAGAGGTAACATGACTTGCCCAGGGTCACTTGGGTAGCAAGTGACTGAGATGGGATTTGAACCAGACTTTTGTTTGCAGGCTCCTGCAGTGTGAATGGAGGGGTAGGAGGGGTAGAAGAGCTAACTTGCTCAGTTGTGTAAACACTGCTTTATAGACACAGTCTTTCCCCACCAGAACATATATTTGAGATGCCTTTGAGAACTTTTGAAGGAGCTCTTGGAAGAATGGAGTCAATGTGGCCACTAAAGGGGAGCACCAGAAAGCAGATCAGAAACCAAGAGTTTGGTTTTCTTCTGCTGGCCCTCCTCCCCTTCAAGGAATTTGGTTTACAAGTTGTGGAAGAGAGAAGGGGAAAAAAGAGAATTTCCAGATGAGAGAAATGGTGTAGATATGAAAGTGTGGGCAACTGTGGGAAGATACATAGGTTGTGTCCATATAAAAGAGACCTCTGTAAAAATGTATGTAGTTTGTCATTGCTTTCTGACGTCAGACTGCTGTTTCTTGTCCATATGACCTAATGAGGTGGGACTGGAGGTCACCCAGTATATGTCCCCGCACGTCTCTTCCTGTGAGCAGAGCAGGTGTTGGTATCTCTATTTCACAAGAAGTGGATTTATGTGCTTCAAACCAGAATTTTTCTACTCGGGCTGCTGTAACACAATACCAAAAACTGGTTTAAACGCCGAAATCTATTTTTTCACAGTTCCGGAGACCAGAAGTCCCAGATCAGGGTCTAGCAGAGTTGGTTTTTGATGAGGACTCTCTTCCTGGCTTGTGGACAGCCACCTTCTCACTGTGACCTCGCATGATGGGGAGTGAAAGATCTTGTGAGCTCTCTGATGCCTCTTGTTAAAAGGACACTAATCATATGGTGTTAGAGGCCCAACTTATGAGCTCATTTAACTTTAATTACCTCCTTAGGGCCCTATTTCCAAATATAGTCACACTGGGGGTTAGGGCATCAACTTATGGATTTGGGCAGGGCAGTGGGTGGAAGGAGACACAATTCAATCCATAGCAAAACTCAGATCTCCTAATCCTGAGCCAGTGTCCTTTCTCTGGGGCTGCTTACATCTGCGTGTTCTCCTGTGGCCTGGCCTCATGATGTGAATCCAGCTTGTCTATCCCAGGTCTTGTGCAAGGAGGAGAGAATCACCTCTGTGCTTTTGAACTCTCCTCTCCCTGTTCGTGGCAGTTTCCCACTGGTTCTCAGAGTCCTGAGACTGATGCTTATTTGTTGTGGGGCACTGGTGATCTTTTTTGATAGCAATAGAAAGAGAAAGAACTATGGGATCCAGTTCACTGTACATTCAAGATCCATCAAAGGTGGGCTGTGGCTATAGAAATAAGAATGCCGTTTTAAAGTGCAATGTTCAGATGTCCAAGTTTACTGAGCTATTTAAACCATGTCTAGAGTACTGTGTTCTGAGCGTCACTTATATCCAGGTTGCCAAAGGGGTGGAAATAACACTCTCTAGTTAATGGTTAAAGGAACTATGGATATGGGGTAGAGGTGAATATTTCTTCTCTAAAGAGCTGTTTTGAGGCAAAGGAAGATGAAGGATGCTTGCATGGGCCTGGGTTGGGGAGGCAGGATGGGTGGAAGAAGCTCTAGCAAAGCAGCTTTCACTTAGTCAGAGGACCCTTCCTGAGGCATAGAACTTCCCAAAGATGGATGAATGGTGGTGATCTCTTGGGTGTGTCCAAGCAGAGGTGGGATGAGCTTGGGGATTGGAGGAGAAGGTCAGATTGGCAAAGAGTAAGCTATTACATATGAAATGTAGCCCGTGGGGTTTTCATTGCAAAAACACAATCTGCCTTCTTATTTTGGACTTTCAATTTATTACTAAGAGAGACAGAACAGCCAGGAACTTTTTGGAATATACAAGAGTCCAAGGTAGCCAGTTGTAAATGACCCAGAAACTAAAGGAGCCTACATTTAGGAAACTTGCCTGCATTGTACATCATTCCTATTTTGAGGATTACCTCCTGAAACAGAGACTGTCATTTCTGGCGCCAACTTCAGAAATAATAACATCCCCTTAGGGCTTGTAATCCACACTAGAGAAATCATTAGCTCAGATACCTAGCACCATCTGAAAGAGCTGCTCTATCTCACTTGAATCAAACCAAACCAGCAAATATTTACCGAACACCTTGCCTGTGCAAGGCCAACCAAGATGGGTAAGATCTGGTTCCTGCCATCTAGGCACCAACAAGAGAGGGAAGGGGAGAGGACAGGTTGTAAAAAGCTTAATTACAATGTCACCTCTTCTAGCGCTTTTCTAAATTGTTGCAATTATTTGTTTAAAATGGCCAGCTGCCCCACCAAGCTGTGAATTCCCAAGGACAGTATAGCTTACTGGGTGAGACACAGCACTTATACTAATAAAACCTGAGCTCAGCTTTCCACCCAGCCATGTGTCAGTTGCAACTTAGGACAAGTTGTTTCACTGCTCTATACTTCAATTTCCTCATCTGAAAATGTAAATAATATTGGTACTGATTATTGTGTGAATTAAAGCAAATAATATATGTAAAGCACTTAGCACTGTGGCCTGGTATATACATGACACAATAAATATTTGCCACTACTAGTAATAGTAATACCGTGGGATTGCTCTATGTAGGAGTTAATTTCGGAAGTAAGTTCACAAGGTAGAAACCATACATAATCAATATGATTCTTCAAAATCCCATCTTACATGCTCTCAAAATGATATACCTCTCTTCTCTCTCTCTCTTTCCCAGTCTCTCCTCCCTGTCACATGAATAGGATTGGCCCACTTAAGTTAATAACAGCTAATATTTAATGTGTGCTTATTACATGGCAGGTACTGGTAGAAACCTTTACATGCATTAACCCATTTCATTTAATGCCATATCAATTCCATGGGTAAGTACTAGGATTTGCTCCATGAGAAAACTGAGGCACAAAAAGGTTAAACAACTTGCCCAAATAACACAGGGACTTTAATCCAGGTGGTCAGCCAGCCAGGCTCCAGAATACGCATTTGCAACCCCTGGGTCCAACTGTCTCTTCTAAAGTAAATAAGATGTGACTGTCCTCTAATACTAATTTTGGTATGGCCAGGCATTTGTACAAATCCTGGAATACAGTGGATGTTTGCTGAATGTTTGTGGAATGAATGAATTCCTCAGGTTACTCATTGTAAGAACTACTGCCTTTGCACAGAGAACCCATCTGTTCATAAACTCACAGGCAGCGGAGGGGAAATGGGGCTGGGGTGAGGCCAGCAAGGAGCATCTCCACCTCGGGAGCCTCTTTGCTGTTCTCTGTTGATGCTTGGCCGGCTCCTGGTCCATGTCTCCATCCTCATCCTCCTGGAGCCAGCTCATTCCCAACTCAAACCATCCTGCAACAAGAAGTCTTCATCCCATGCAGCTGCCATCTTGTGTCATTTTGCAGATGCTATGTCACTATCTTCTTCTAGGGTGAGGGTGTAAAGGGAGCAGGGAGGCCAGGAGCAGTGGCTCATGCCTGTAATCTCAGCACTTTGGGAGGCCAAGCCAGGTGGATTGCCAGAGGTCAGGAGTTCAAGACCACCCTGGCCAACATGGTGAAACCCCGCCTCAACTAAAAATACAAAAATTAGCCAGGCATGATGGCGGGTGCCTATAATCCCAGCTACTCGGGAGGCTGAAGTGAGAGAATCACTTGAACCTGGGAGGCAGAGGTTGCAGTGAACCGAGATCACGCCATTGCACTCCAGCCTGGGCAACAAAGTGAGACTCCATCTCAAAAAGAAAAAAAAAAAAAGGAGCAGGAAAAGGAGTTTACGACTTTAGCAATCTTTAGAGGGACTCTAGTAAAGTGATGTTTCTCCAAGTAGATTGATGGGGGGAAGTGCATACATGTATTCTCAGGGGTTCATGAGTTCTCTCCAAGAATTTTTAAGTGATGTGTTTTTATTTCAATGATTATGTGATTAAATTAATAGTCATATATTCTAGGGATTAAGGCTGCTAACTCTTGCATCAAAGATCCTGGATGCAAATCCTGACGTTGCCAAGCAACAAATTGAATTGAGCCCTTGCAACTAGGCTCCTAAATGATCTGAGAAGTTGAATGCAGCAAACAAGTTTTCCTCTTGACCTTCTTCTCCTTCCTCCCCATCTAGGCAACTCAGAATCTGGTTATAGCTTGTATTTACAGTTAGGTCCTGGCCTTTGGTGCAAGACTTTCTGGTGGGGGTGACTCTTGAGCTGAGAAGGGATCCACCAGGCTGGTATGTTACATAACCATTACACTCACTTCTACAGTGCCTTCTGGTAGAAGATGTCTTCTCCCTATGCATTTGGTCCTGACAAAAACTATGTGAGGTAAGTAGCGATACAGTTGACCCTTGAACAATGTGGGGCTTGGTGGTGCTGACACCCCACGCAGCCGAAAATCCCCACTTTTGAACCCCAAAACTTAATTGCTAATAGCCCACTGTTGACTGGAAGCCTTACCCATAATATAAATGCTCAATTAACACATATTTTATGTGTTGTATGTATTATGTGCTGATTCTTACAATAAAGTAACATGGAGTAAAAAGACTTCACTAAGGAAATCATAAGGAAGAGAACAGCTATTTACTATTCAGTAAGTGGAAGTGGATCATTATGAAGGTCTTCGTCCTCATCATCTTTACATTGCATAGGCTGAGGAGGAGGAGGAAGAGAAAGGATTGATCTTGCTGTCTCAGAGGTAACAGAGGTGGAAGAAAATCTGTTTAAGTTTCCCGCACAGTTCAAATCTGTGTTGTTCAAAAGTCAACTGAATATATATTTATATTTATATACAGTTTACATTAATCATAATTTCTATATTTGCAAATCTGCCTACTCATTAAGATTAATTTTTAACCCCCAAATCAATACATGCAGCACTTTTGCTGTGAGCAGAATGGCAAAAAATTGCAGCCACCCAATGTGCACATTCCCAGCTGAGGTCAAACAAGGCGACACTCTGCCTCCTTGTTTCAGCTCTCACACTATAAACAAGTGTCCTTTTGTGGTCTACTCGGTACCACATTTTTCACATTTTTGTGCTTTTTTGTTTGGTATTTCACTGTTTCAAATGGTCCCCCAGCATAGCACTGAAGTAAGCCCAGGGAGGCTGTGATGCTCCTTACAGAGAAAACAGCTGTGGTAGAAACGCTTCGTTCAGGCGTCAGTTACAGTGCTGCTGGCCATGAGTTCAGTGTCGATGAATCAGCAGTAATATTAAATAAGCTATCTTTAAACAGGTGAGTTCAATGTCAATGAATCAGCAATAATATTAAATAAGATGTCTTTAAACAGAAACGCACACATTATTAGGTTTTATTATTGACAGAATTGTAACCAGAGGCTCACTGGAACCTAACCCTGTTATTTCCCCTTTGAGCAGTGGTTCAGTATCTGCCAGTGCAGTGTTCCCGGAGGCTTTTTAGAACACAATGACTGCAAATAATAACAATACAAGGCAGACTGGGTATACATAAAATATAAGAAATTTTAAAATCGAGGCTCAGAGAGGAAGGAGAATCTGCCTAAATGGCCTGGATTTCATATCTGATGCAGAAGCCAGAGTTGGTCCCTGAACTCAGGTCTGTCTGAGTCCCTGCTCCCTCTACCACCACCACTGCCACCCCCCCACACTACCCCCACTGGTCAGGGGTTCATGGCCAGATGACTTGTACAGACAATGGCCGTTTGTGGAGTTTGGGTAAGGAGGACTAACACCAGATGTCTTTCACCTCTCCTTTGCTAATGCTGCTCTTTGTTTCTCCTCCTACCCTTTTTGCTCATTTGTTTTTGGATTATCCATAACCACTTTGCCATTGCATTGAAGGTCCTTCAGAACAAGTGAGCTTGCTGCAAAGCACAAACCTTTCCAAAGAGGTGTCTAGGGAAACAACAGGGCAGTCAGCTTGGAAATAAATGCAATCTGTTTTTTTTTTTTTTCTTTTTTTTTTTTTGAGACGGAGTCTCTCTGTCGCCCAGGCTGGAGTACAGTGGCGCCATCTTGGCTCGGCTCACTGCAAACTCCGCCTTCCGGTTCAAGCAATTCTCCTGCCTCAGCCTCCCAAGTAGCTGGGACTACAGGCGCCTGCCACTATGCCTGGCTAATTTTTGCATTTTTAGTAGAGATGGGGTTTCACCATGTTGGCCAGGCTGGTCTCGAACTCCTGACTTCAAGTGATCCACCTGCCTCAGCCTCCCAAAGTGCTGGGATTACAGGCGTGAGCCTCCGTGCCCAGCCTGCAGTCGATTTTTACATTCAAGTTCACACATGAGCCAGTGAAAATTCCCCTACTTATTCTTACTGAAATTTAAACTCTAGAACAGGGCAGGTGAGAGGAGAGGAGCTGAAGGAATATCTGCACCTTCCCTGACTCTACCTTGGCAGCCTTCAGCAATCCTGGAGAGTCTCACCCCTTCCCACAGAGGAGCAGGGACTCTAAGCATCTTCAAACAATCAGTGCCATTTTGTGGGAACTTAGATCCAATATATCCCTGTTCACGGGTCCCACAATGCTTAGAATGATGCACTGCCCTGAGGAGTTTGACAGACGTGGCAGAGGAGAGAGGCAGGAGGGAGGAGGAGAAGAGACACTTAACAAGTGTCTGTGAGGTGGCGTTTACATTTAGAATTCCCTTTCCTTTCAAAGGAATCTCCAGGATAGCCAAAGAGTCCAGCTTAAAGGTAGCCAGCCAGAAAAAGTGCCCAAACCACGCAGTGAGATCACACCTTTGAAGACCCCACCTTGGCATAGACTCTACGGCTTTCACGAATGATGCTGAGCTCTCAGCAGCACCAGAACCTCAGGCTCTGACACCCACAAAGCTGCAGGTCTCCAGGGCTGCTTGGGCCAAAAGGTGGGTTCTGGGCAGCCCCCTTCCTCCTGGTCCACTTCTAAACTACACTCTTCCCTGGGCATATCTGATTCATAAAGCCCAGGGCACGTGACTGAGTGACTGAAAACAACAGAAATTTATTGTTTTACATTTCTGGAGACAAGAAGTCCAGAATCAAGGTGTTGGCAGTGCTGCCCTCCCTCTGGAGGCTGTAGGGGACAATCCATTTTTTGCCTCTTCCAGCTCCGGAGCTGTAGACATTCTTCGATTTGTGGCCAAATTGCTCCAATCTCTGCCTCTCTGATCACAGTGCCTCCTTCTCCTCCCTCTCTGTGCTAAATCTCATTCTGCCTTACATTTATAAGGACATTGGCACTGGATTTAGAGCCCACCAGATAATTTGGGATGATCTTCTTCATATCAAGATCCTTCACATCTGCAAAGATCCTTTTTCCATATAAGGTAATAGTCACAGGTTCTGGGGATTAGGACATGGTACTTTTTTTTTTTTTTCCGGAGGAGGGTAACCATTCAACTCACTGTACCTGGCTATAGATTCAAACCACCAATGAGGCTTTTTATACAAGTACAGATATGGAAGCCTACTTAGACCAATGGAATTGAAATCTTTAGGGCTGTGGCATCTAGACTGCATTTTGTTGTTGTTGTCGTCAGCTTTCCAAGTATTGTGCTGCTTAGCCTGGCTTGAGGACCAGTGATTGTACAATCCACCTCTTTATACAGCTGAGACCAGAGGCCCAGACAGGGGCCAAGACTTCCTCAAGTCACATTGTACAGGCTTGGACCCCCAGCAAGTGTTCCTCAGCCACTTCCAGCTGTGTGCAGCCCCCATCCCACCAGGACCCTTCAGGCTTTCAGAGCACCCAGGTGGCCAGCATCTTCTCTGGCTTGCTCTTAGCTAGGATCCTTATGAACTTTCTCAAGATTCAGGACAATGCCTGGCCTCAGATTGGATGGGTCCCCAAACAGGGGCCAAATCAACCTGCTGACTTGCTGTGTGACCTCAAGGAAGTCACTGAACTTCTCTTTTTCTAGTTTGCTCGTCTTTAACATGGAGGATTCAGCTCATTGTGCTCTAAGGCAACTTTCATAGCAGAAATGCTGTGATTTGGTAATTCTAAGCATCTGAAAATGTTTTCTTTGGCCCTTGGCCATCCCAGGATGTTTGATAAAATCTGATCATTTGGATAAGTCCCAGAAAAGGAACAGATCAGAGCCTGCGTTGGGTGCTGGGAGCCCACCTGATGGGAGAATGTGTGTACATGTGGCGGGGAATAGGGAGCATGGTAAAGTGTGGAGACTGAGAACTAGAAAGAATTAAAGATTATTCAACTTGTTCCAAATATAGAAACTGAGCCCCAGAGAAGGAAATGATTCGTTCAAGTTCATACAGCTAGTTAAAGGCAGAACTGGGATTAGAATTAATCCATTCCTGGGTTTTTTCCCCTACAATGAGGATGACAAATACATTTCCTTTTCTGCCCTCTGATCAATTAGCAGTGGCTACCTTGAGCACTGACTTCTGGAAGGTTCCCAGGTTCTTCAAAATTCAGCAAGAAGAATGCTGATTGATTAGCAATGTCTGATATGGCCACAGGAAAGGAGAGTACCCAGAATTTGTCAGCCAGGACTTACCAGGACTTGTGATAGAACAAAATTGCCAGTGGGGAACTTGAGGCTCATTCCTCATAGAGAACCAACAGGTGAAAGAAAAGCAGTAAACTACATAATTCCTTCTGCAGAAAACTCTTTTAAGTGCCTGGCCCAAAATTCAGAGGTGGTAGTCAATGCATGCTTAGGGAACCAGTTCAGTCAAAGTTTGCTAAGTAACACTGGGAACAAATAGTATTGCAAACTGTGAAAAGGGAAGCAGAACAAGATAACGAGTAAGGTAGAAACACATGGTACAATGTGCACCAGAAGTTTTTGTTGTATTTTTTAATGTTGCTCCAACTGTAATATCACTGCTTAGACTGAGACAGTGAAATTAATTGATTTACTTTCAGAAGCATAGTTGCAAAGTTGTATGTAAAACTATATGAGCATATGGACTTGCTAATTTCTCCATGCCTAGATTTAATTCTAGTCAATAACAATAACAACAATAGCTATGTCATTTAATCCTCTTGACAACTTTATGAGGTAAATGTTTTTATTATCACTGTTTAACAGATGAGGAAACTGAGGTATAGATGGGCTGAGGGACCTGTCCAAGTTCACACAATTAATAGGTGGCAGAACTGGGATTTGAATCTAACTTGTGATTTCAACACGTCCCTCTAATTAAAAGCTGGACCCAACCTGAGGCATATTTGAGAACTCATGGAAGTTACTAGAAGTGGGGTATAGGCCTCTTCAGAACTGGCCTTGAAATTTCAACTCTTCTTAATACAAAAGCAACATCATGGTCTTTCTCTTGTTTTCATTTACTAGGCTCCAAATCACCAAACTTCTTTGCCTCTCTGGGAAAACTAAATGACCCACCACTTCAGAAGAAGGTCATGGGGTCTGTGCACAGCTTTTCACATCCTCCCTGAAACACCAACACGCCCGGTCCAGGTTAAAGGATATCAGCACTGCCACACACTCTTCTTTTTCCCAAATTAATCAAGAAGTAGGAATTTCTGACAAATGCCATCTGCTGATTTTTCAGAGAGACAAGTTTTGGTGGTGTGACCAGCAGGTGCCTCGGCTTTTTCTAGCATGCAGTACCAAAATAGTCACCATGGCAACCCTGGGAGGGCAGACTTCCAAAGAGATGCATTGTGAGCTCAGAAACTCTAGAGCACTTTCAAGCTAAAAGGAAGGAGGCTCAGCAGTGGGTTTCCAACTGTGGCAAGTAGCGGCTTCTCCCCACATCCCTGGGCTGGACCCCAGGCCCCTGCATACTGGGCACAGCCAGGACCCCCCGACCCCAGGGCCTGTGCTTCTAGGAAGAGGGGGAAAATTGAATTTGTGGGGAGTGGCAGGCAGGTGGAGCAGGCAACTCCCAGATTTCTTGCAGGAGCTAAAGTAGCATGGAGGGTGATAAATGGTGCCCACCTGGGTTGGGAGGCAGGAGAATTGGGTTGAAATACCTGCCCTGTCACTTGCTAACCAATGACCTTGGGCAATTGACTTGGCCTTTCTGACTCTCAGCTTCTCATTTTCAAAATGGGAGTGGTGAGCTTGCACTGCCTCTTCACAGGGAAAATTGTGGATATGATAGGAAGCTTGTGAAGACTGTTGGGAAAGTGCTCAGTGGACAGTGCAAAGCAGAAGAGAACAGGGATTTGGGGATCAGAAAGCTTGGGTTCCAGACCAGGCTCTGCTGCTTTCTAATCTTATGAGCTTGGGAAAGTCATAGAGCTTGTCAAACCTACTCGCTCACCTTGGAAGAAGGCTCAGAAGCCCTGCCTCACAGAGTGGATGTGCAGGTTATCTGGGCTCTTTCTGTGACCTGGGATTTTACACTCCCCTTCAGTGCAGACACCAAGACAGGATGGACAATACAGAGGATTTTACTAGGGGAAACATCTGTGAGATAAAAATGGGGAGGGAGCTGGTAGAGGCTAGAAGAGAGGAAAGGCTGGGAGAGCCATCACACCTTGATGCAAGTCTGACCTAAGTGCAGGAGGGAGGGAAGCAAGTTTGGGTGGAAGCTCCTAGACTGCCTATAGCAAGGCCATCAGAGAGTCCTCAAGCCAAAGTCACCTATCAGAGAAGTTCCCTGTTTCTTGGAGACAGGTCTGCCTTAGTATCCCTGCCACACTCAGTTGCTGATTGTCTAGAAGCAGCCAACAGGAAGAGTGGCCTCTACATAAATATGGGTGCAAGCAGCTGGAGGCCATGATCAACTGAACTCTCTCTTCAGGAGACATATTCTTATGGCCACCACACCTACCCAATCCTGATGTCTTTTGCTTGAACATCCACATCAGGTACTTGGCCTCAGACCCACACCTCTACTTCAGAAGCCTTGTACCCCACATCCATGGTCCTCTTACCCAGAACATTATAGGAACTCAGGTTCAATGATGTCTTAGAATACCACCCCTAGGAAAAAAATATATTTTCTACATCTCAATTAGATTATGTAGCAAAGGTGCACAGGCATTGTTCCATTCTGCATTTGAATGTGCGTGTATGTAGGAATGCATGCTTCTTTGTCAGTGTGCACGCATATGAACAGTATATTTGTATATATAGATGAGCATTTATATCTACGTGTATGCATGTTGTGAATTTATGCAACAATACCATTAGCCCATTAGCACTACATAAGCATTTTGCACACAGTATCTTTGATCTTTACAACCATCTTTGAGGTAGATAAGCAGGTAGTTTTGTAGGCACAATCCTTGTTTCAGCTTAAATGTTTTCCCCAACATGCCACTCAGATAACACAAGGTAGAGCCATGGTTTGAACAGAAATGTCTTCCTTCAAAGTTTCAGCTCTTGTCCTTTCTTCCACCCACCCCCATCCCACCTACTCATATGACTATGTGTTGCATGAAAGCACATACGTGTGCATATAGAAAAAAGATTCAGATGGGGAGGGGAATATAGCTGGAGAAGTATAGATTGATTATGGATTGGTGACTGGTGAAAAGTATTTCTGCCAGAAGCCCCCACACTACAAAATGTAATCCTATTAATGTGTGTCATCTAAAAACATATATTGTATCCTAGCTGTAAGAATTTCTATTTAATGGGCTACAAAGACAAATTTTGGAGATCCTAAGCAATTTGAGTCTCTTATTCTTCTAGTATAATCAAACAGTGATCCACTTTCTTGGCCTTCCCCCAGAATCCTTGCTCCCATGGCAAGTTTTTCAGCCCAACTGGTGGAAATTGTTTTGTCCTGATTGAGAGGTATTAAAGAAAAAATATCTACCCCAGCACCTTAGTTTTCTAAATCACTTGTCTTTGCTTGTTTCCTAGCAGCATGAAATACTAGTCTGGAGAAATAGATTTAGAATTAGTTTCAATTGCCATTTATTGATCACAGGTACTATGCATACAATTTTCATAAATGGTCACATTTGATTTTGATTCTCATCAAAATGATTTCTATTTAGCAATGAAGAACTGAGGGTCTAATGGATTAGGAGACTTGCTCAATGTACCCTGTTAGTAAGGGGACAGAATAGGAACTGGAGCTGGGCTCTGCAGAATTCATGGCCTGGCTCTTTCCACAGTATTCACATTCTCTCCAGGCAGAAGATACGATCTGCCTAAATACTTGCTTTCCAGGCCATCCACTAGTTCTGCTGTATCCTGGGAACCTGCAGGACCAGCCAAGCCCAGGACAGGGCCGCCTGGGGCCAGGGCAGGTAGACTTACCTGGAAGAGCACCAGCCTGGCTATCAGCATATCCACTTTCTTCCCATTTCCTTTTGCAGCCTCCTTCCTTGGTTCACAATGACAGTCCAACTTCTGCCAGTCCTGACTGTCATTCAAGCCTTTTTGCTATTTAAGAATTTTGAGGAAGAAAACCGTCATGTACTCAAAATCCTGGTAATCAGAAGTGTCTGGAGATTTCGAGCTGTTAACATAGAGAGGTGGCAAAATTATTTTCTGGGATATCCTTATGGGCCTGAATGGCAGCGGGAGTCGACATAGCTGGTGCCTGGGCAGGTTTCCAAAGCACAGCCGAGGTGGAGAGTAGGTGAGGGCTGCAACAAAGGTCCCGACATCTGAAGAGCACTGCACAGTTTGTCAGAGGATTTCAGCTCCACACTCTCACTTAGTCCTCACAGCAACCCCATGCAGTGACTGCTGTCACTTCTTTTCATGGCTGAGAAGACTGTTGGGAGAGGAAAAATGAATTGCCCACTGGCAGGCAGGTAAGAGGCACAGCTGAAACTCTCACCTAGTTCTTCTGACTCCAAGCCCATCATCTCAGGATTGTACCCAAGTGGCTCTTGCACCAGTATCAGCGCCAATGGCAGGGTCAGCAGAAAATAGCAGAGGGGCCTGAAAACAGATGGGAACATCTGGAAAAGGTAAGGAAGTTGTCTTTGTCAGCTCCAGCCGCTATAACAAATACTCTAGGCTGGGTAGATGAAATCACAGAAATTTAGTTCTCATGGTTCTGGAGCTGGGAAGTGCATGTTGAGTGTGCCAGCATGGTTGGATTCTGGGGAGGGCCCTGGCTTGACATCTCCTTGCTGTGTCTTTACATGGCGGAGAGCAGAGAGAGGAAGCACACTCTCTCCTGTCGCTCTTTATACAGGCACTAATCCCACCACGAGGGTCCTGTCCTCATCACCTCATTACCTCCCAAAGGCCCCATCTCCAAAAACTATTACTCTGGGGATTAGGGTTTCAACATAAATTTGGGAGGAATGCAAACATTCACTACATAGCAGAAGTATACAGCCCTGGAGGCCCAGTTCATTTAGTGTAATAAGCCTGGTGCTGTGCTAGGCACTGGGGATATGGCCTGAACAAGGTCATCCAGACCCTTCCCTAAGAAGTTAGACTCCAGTGGGGAGACCGTTGGATAAACAGGCAACTCCAACACAGAGTAACAAGCATTCTGGTGGTGGAGGGACTTGCAGGCTCTGTTGGAAGGCAGGGGAGGGCACCACACCCAGATGCAGTAGTGGGCCTCTTGATTCATTTTCCAAATATACAAAAATGACTTGGGTTTGCAGAAGGAGTGAAAAAAAAAATAAAAGGTAGTTGCTGTGGGAGGGGAGATAGATCCAAGAAGGCTTCCTAGAAGAAGTGGGCAGCCTTCTGGAACTGGGGCCCTGAAGGATGGGTAGGATCCTGATGTGCAGAGACTTGGAGGAGAAGTATTGTAGCCTAAGGAAACAGCATGGTCCCTGCAAAGGCATGAAGGGGGAGATTCCCGAGTGTAATCACCCACCTTCAGACCCTGTGTAGGCACCGTATAGGATAGGGTAGGGTAGCAGGTGACACAGCTGGAAAAGCAGATGGGGGTCAAGTCGGGCCTTCCAAGGTTTGGACTTTATCTTACAGGCAGTGGGGAGCTGTTGAGAGCATTTTGAGTGGGGCAGTGACACTGCTGGCTCTGCATTTTGGAAAGGTGGTTTTCAGAGCAGTTTGGATGATGCTGGGGAGTAGCTGACAGGTTGAAGATCAGTCCTGAGGAGCAGGTCAGTGAAACATGATAAGGGCATTGGCATTCAGTCTGGGGCGTGAGCAGTGAGGCGGTCACCCAGGCTGGCTTGAGGGGCAGCACAAGCACACAAGCCCAAATCATATCCGAGGAGAAGTGCAGATCCACTTGGAGGAGCCAGGTTTGCCTTACATCCAAGAGGCAAGCTCAAGGCTAGTGATGAGCCAGAGGGCAGGGGCAGAGCAGATGAAGGGACTCCATGAGAGCGCAGGGCCAGGGTGGGACGCCAGGGCCGCTAGTGTGAGGGCTACTGCTGGAAAGGGCCGCAGGGCCCGAATTGAATGTGGGTGTGCATGAGTGCATGTATGTGTGTTGGGCGTATGTGTGGATAGTGATGCATGCATGCACATGTCCTGGGCTGGGAGGAGAGGGCACTGGGTTAAAGGGTGACAGACTAGGGGATAATGAGGGCCCCCAAAGGCTTGGAGGGGAGACACACAGGCAGGAGTAGGTCTTAACACCCACATGGGCACTCAACCCTTGGCCATCTCTGTAGCTGCAGAAAGCAGAGCAGTGAGCTTCCCAAAACAGTTTTGTTGCCTTGGTCATGCATCATACTGGAAGGCAGCGCCTGCAGCAACTCCCAGCTGTCCAGCTCAGGAGTCCCGCCACTGTGCCCCAGGCACCTACTTAGCACGTGATACCAGAGACACAGACATGAAAACCCGGTCTTAAAAACAAAAACAAAAACAAAAAACTTGAATCAAACTCCTTTCCGGCACTTTCCACTGATTTTCTAGACGTTTGTCCTCTGTGCTCAGGGCTGAGGAAACCGGCTTGCCTGCAGGCTGGTCGTTCCAGGGGGTTCCTTTGAAAACTTCCTGCGGTGTCCAGGAGCGAGCAGCCTGCTGCACACAGGACGCAATGCCTGCTGAAATCCCAGATGAAAGTGAGCGGCATCGCCGAGACAAGGCTAGATCCTTTTCAGCACAGCGATCCCTTCCTTCCTCCTTTCCTCCCACAGCTCGGCTAGAGTTTTCTGCCCAGAGGAACTCTGTGAGAGCGTTTCAGAGCCATCCGGGCCGCTTGCCCCCAATAGGGCTACGCTGGCTGGCTGACCCCCCTCCTGCTGGGGGGTACTGTACCCACGGCCCGGGGCTTCTCTATCCCTCTCCTCCCCTCCCGCTGCTGACGCACGCTTCCTATAATAAGCCTCTGTTACTTGGAGCAGGGGCGGCTCCGTAGTAAGCCGAAACCGCTACTATATTTACACCCTTTCCACATTTAGACAAAGGCTATTTTTAACAGAAGGTCTATTTGTGGGGGTTGCCCACGTCACACTGTTCACATGCATCTCACCATCCTCAGTCTGTTCTTCTGATTTCACACTTGTACCGGGCCTCTCTCCTTCTCTCTCTCCCCTTCTCTCCATCATTTTTCTTTCGTTTATTTCTTCCTTTCTCCAATGTCCTTCCTTTCTTTAATCAGATTGAGGTCTTTGGCAGGCTATTTTGCCAGAGTCCTTCAGGGGACAGCGAGGCCCTGTCCTCACGGAGCAGAGTGGGCAGTGCGGCCACGTGCTGGGCTGTGAACTGTTCTTGGCACCTACTGTGGGGACCAGCAGAGACCCCAGTCCCCAGAGGCTCCATATGGGCCTGTTCTGCCTCCAAGTTTATGTGGGCAGGATGCTGGGATCATGACAGCCTGGCCTTTTCTCCTCATGCCAGTCTAGTTTTATTGGTGGGAGAGGAGAGTGTGTGTGTGTGTGTGTGTGTGTGTGTGTGTGTGTGTGTGTGTGTGTGTGTGTTGGGGAAGGGGTGGTGAGCAAGGTCAGAGGAAAATAAGTCAATGGGGTCATCATTCATGCAGAACACTTTTTCAACTTAAATATTAATTTTATCAGATTTGTCTAAGATGACAGAGTTTTTGTTTGGGTGAAAGGAGGTTTCATATTTCCTAGATTCATAATCCACTTAGGAAAAAGGAGGGGGGATGCACGGAGTTAGCACATATTAAGTGCCTGCTGTAGTCAAGCCCTGTTGGACACCAGGGACATCTGGACCTTGACAACGGAGCGAAGGGGTGGTCCTGCCTGCACCAGGTTTCAGGTGAGGAGATTGAGGCCCACAGAGATCCGGGACTGGCCTCACTTAGCTGGTAAGTGGCTGTGCTGGGACTTAAATCTATGTGTCTGGCTACCAACTGCATGCTGGCCCCAAATCTCAGACCTCCCCCATTGTTACTTTTTCGGCTCTCTAAAAAATCAGCAATCTTCATTAACACTGTTTCTGTTATTTTCTTTCCCTCGTTCTGCTCCTCTCCTCACCCTCCCACCCCAATGAGAAGAGACCTTTCCCACCTCAGAACCCCATCTGCACTTCCTTGGTCTACTTCTTCAGTTGATGAGTCATCTGAAATACAGACATGTCAGAATCTAAAAAGGACACCAGAAAAGGCCTTGTGGGCACTAAAGGGTCCCAGAGAAACCCCATGTTGTCAAATCCCATGTTTTTCCTCCCAACAGTCAATTTGGATTATAGCTTACTGCATTTTTGAGAGAGGAGAGCTGAGATTTGAATCCACATCAGACTGTGCTGGAAACAGAATACAGAGCCCATCGTAGGATGTACTTCCCTCTGTAGCCTAGTTTCTGAAAGTGTCATTAAACATGTGGGAACCAAATGCCCCCTGAGTCCCCATATTCAAGCCTTTAAAATTGCAGATTCTGGTTCAGACATTTCCTGGAGACTCTGATAAGAGATTATTGTCTTCTTCGTGTCCTAGTGTCAGGGGTCCTGAGCCCAGGAGTCTAGCAGCTGTAACATGAGGCCAAGTCACATTCATCCCTAAAATAGAGATAATAATGTCCCTTGCCCACTCACCCACTTCACAATTTGCAGAGATGTTGCAATTAGAGAATGCATGTGAGTGTGCTGCTTTGAAAGCTGGCAAACGCGACAAGACTGCTAGTCACTAGTGCTGATGTTTTCATCCTTAGTGAGGATGTGAGAGAGGGCTCAGGAAGGCCAGGTGACATGTACAAGGTCACACAGCAAGTAAGTGGTTGAAATAAAGTCACAATAGCCCTGTGTCCCTCAGCAAGGGGCTGAAAAGAAATTACAGAGCCAGTGGGAAGGCTCGGGTGCTGAGCTTTAGCAGTGCTAGGCTGAGCTCAGCCCAGAAATGGGGACACTGATTTGGGACGAATCCCATCGCTCTCCCCAGCTGACCCTCCCTGCATCTTGGTCCCAGTGGCTTCTCAGGCTTCTCTGCAGCATGGGTGTTCCTGCCTTGGCCAGAGCCGAAATCCCAGAGCAGTGAAAGAGGAGCCAGTGTCATGGGGCTTCTGGTTTCAGGACACACTGGAAAGGTGAGAAGGAAGCTTGTCTTCCCATGGATCTGGGCCAGGCCTGGGTGGCGGGGCCTCCCCGCCAGGAGCTGGGACGTTCCCCAGGTGCCCGGGCATCCCCAGGTCAGGAGGGCCGCCAGCAGTTTTTCAAAGCATTAGCTTGGTCAAAAAATAAATCATTAGGCACTTTGCGGAGACCAGATGCTTTGTCAGTGCAGGCAAAACCTGACCCAGAATCTGCAGCCTGGGAAGGCCTTATGCTCACCTGGCTTAGGGGCCAGTTTGGGGAAAAGAGGCCCCTGCTCTTTGTACCTGCTTCTTGGAGGACTTGATGAGAAGACCTACACACCTTGACCTCCATGACTTTGACCTTCACACCTTGGCCACGCCCTTCTCACCACTACTACCCATCAGCCACCAGCCACCAGCCACCACTCCACCTCTCTACCCCCAACCCTCATCAGACTGTCACCTACTTTCAAGGTTCAGATATTGCTCCCTATGTGAAATCTTGTCTGGCCCTCTTTCTCCCAGTCAGGAATAATTCACCCCTCCTCTCTTCTCTGTGTCCTTAGTGTTCTCTGTGAACGTGGTAGCCGTCTCAGACCAGTCTGTGCTGGAGTTATCCTGGCACCCAGCCTACAATCAGAGGAAATATGCGGTTCATCCATGGAATTTGAGTCAGGCCTAGTTTTCACCTCTTCTGAGGGTGGAGCAGGGCCTCTGGGCTGGAGGGATACAGACAGTGTAGAAGATGCTACGGTGTCCCACCAGCTCCCCTTTTAAGGACCAATGCACACCCCCTGCCCCCAGCTGCTAAATGTCACCTGTTTGCCTGCTAATGACTCAATGATGCCCCCCTTCTCCAGAGAATGGCTCTCAGAAGACAGAAGCTGCATCTCCACGAGATTACAACTTTCTCCCCATACCTGCTCCCCAATCACTGCCACCACAGGCAATGACTAAGTGACACAGAAATGCAAAAGGGCAGTTCCCTCCCCTCAGGAAGGGACACCTCT
Source organism: Homo sapiens (assembly GCF_000001405.40). Taxonomy (NCBI): domain Eukaryota; kingdom Metazoa; phylum Chordata; class Mammalia; order Primates; family Hominidae; genus Homo; species Homo sapiens. The sequence goes on along the minus strand of NC_000009.12, from coordinate 99,365,400 downwards.
GCGGTATGCTTTAGGCTCCAGAGAGTCAGTCCACTTCTACCCCCTCTCCAAGGATCAGGCCAAGGCTGGCTTTCCCTGAGATCACAGTTTATGATGACCAGCCTGAATTTCAGTTTTACACTGAAATTCCCGTATCCCATCAGTTTTGGGCAAATGGGGCTGATTGACTAGCTTAGACTGGGTTACCAGATTTAGCAAATAAAAATACAAGATACCCGGCTGTATTTGCATTTCAAATAAACTAAGGATACGTTTTGAGTATAAGTAGGCCTCATGCAAGACTTGCAACATACTTATAGTAAGAAATTACTCATTGTTCATCTGAAATGCAAATTGACCTGGGCATCCTGTATTTTATCTGGTAGCCTGGCCCTTGACCACGCCTGTGTTTGTCTCTCTCCCTGCTCCTATCCTGCTTCCTTTCCTCTCTCCCTTGCAGGTTTTTCCTGAAGAACACTCCCCCAGTAAATCACGTGTACCTAAATCCTTGCCTCAGGCTCTGCTTCTAGGGAATCTGATCTAAGACTGTCATTTGTCCCTCTCTGCTGTCTAAGGTGGCCAGAGAAGTCCTTTCATTTCCCCTGAACCTTGCAGAAACTCTTTTTGTTCAGACTTCGCCTGGTCCACCTTGGCTAGAGTGAAGGAAATCATGACACCAATTGTCACCAGCTGAGTCCCCCACGTCCTCACAACAGCCCTGAGTGGTGGCTACAATTCTTAGATCCATTTTTAGATGAGGAAACTGAGGCAAGAGAGATGCAATAGCTTACCTGGCTGCACAGAAAGTGGCAGAGCCTCAATACAGAACCATATTTCCTGCCTCTTAGACTCCTGCTTCATAGGTGCCTCCCAGGGAATTCAGGAGAGACACAAAAGCAAGGCTTTAGCTTTGCTTATCTACCCCCTCCTGGCCCCTGCAGCATTTGGACTTCAAGTTTTGACCTTGTCTCTTGGATGGGGGCCCTAGGATGGGGCCATTCTAGGTAAGCTCTCTGGGTGACCCAGGGGGCTAGCCACTAACTTCACATTTGTGAAGAACTGGCTTCCCAGAAACCACAGGAAAATGGGGGTATCCAGAAATCCATGTGGCCACAGCCCCCTTTAGGAAAACTCTATTTTCATTGATCCATGACAGATCTAGGTTCGTGGCTTAGGGTCTGAGCTTTGATTTAACCAGGAACATGAGAACTAGATTGACTTCTGGGGACCATCCAGCTATGGCCCAGTGGGATTTGAAGTTTCCATAGACCTGACATTCATGTTTAGTTAAGTACTTAACCTGGTACCTGGCACAAGGTAGAGCTCACCTAACAGTGGCTGTAAGTAGTAGTATTTCTTATAAGCAATAGTAATAAGAACATCTGATTCCCCAGATAACATGAGAGTGATAAGAATATGTCCTGCAGTGCACTCAACTAAACAGACTTCAGCTCAAAGCCATCCAAAGATGGAATGAGTTGCCTCAGAAGGCAGTGAGCTTTCTGTCACTCACAGGAAAGAAAAGGGAAGGAATTTGTTTATCTACCTGCCAGTGGGAGATAATTTCCATCCGTTACTTCTTTTAATCAAATGCTGAGATGTTCCAGAAAAGGCTGGATGATAGCTTGTGATGGTGTGCCAGCTTCTGAGGGGCTGAACAAGAAACATGGAGAAGTCCTCCCAGACCTGAGACTCCAGGAGTCTTAGAAAATGCTGACATCCCACATTTATGATAAGACCAGTGGCCACTCTCGTGTCCAGAAATCTGGCAAATTGTTCCAGAATAATGTCACAGGCTCCAGCCCTACACTTTTCAGAACTGTCCACACACTCAGACCAATTAGAGACCTGGCTTGTGCCCCTGAGTTGGGGGGCGGGGATAGACACTTACCTATGGGCCCTCAAAATCCTCCTGACCCGCAAGTTCCCCAGCATGGGAGACTGCACCAGGCCCTCTTTCTTCCTGTCTGTCACCACACTGTGCCTCCCCTCTTCTTGAGCAGCTCAGCTCAGCCACGGACTGAGTCAGGCATGCTCAGTTGCCAGCCCTACGGCAGCCCGGCTGAAGGAAATGGCTTTCTGCTCCCCCTCCCACAGCTGTCAAAAGGATACCCCAGAGTCCTCATTACACACACACACACACACACACACACACACACACACACACACGCCCTTACGGAATCTTTGCCCACAATCACAAAATCACAGGGCTGAAAGAGACGGCAAGTACCTAGCAGATTTGTTAAGTCCAGGCCTGTCAAGAACTTCCCTACCAGAAGCCTCCATCCACACACCTTCACAGTGGAGAGCTCACCCCCAGCTGGTGTCACCCTTCCCAGCGGTGAACTCTTTGGCCATTAGAAGGTGCTTCTCGTATCCAGGTGCCAGGCATCCAGGTATCAGGTGACTTCTTCTGGCTTCCTCTCATTGGTCCTAGTGTTTTCAGGAATAGCACAAGAGTCCAATCTTGTTGGAAGGTGTTGTACAAAGAGGTGCAAGAAGATACATGGGAGGAAGTAGTGAGAGATGAAGTCAGAGATAGTGAGAAACGTCAGAGAGAGAACTGGCAGGGATGTACACAGTCTAAAAGGGACTTGTATCCTGCATGCTGACAATTTTTCCATTGTGCTTTTTTTTAAAATTCTGTTGCTCTTCAGCTGTGTGGAAAACATGTCCACCCCAAATAACTTACTCTCTGAGAACTGCAGAAAAAACAAAAGTATTGTATTACCTATTGCACTGATGAGAAAAGGGTGATCAGGAAGGGAGAAGACTCAAAACTGTGTCACATGGAAAAGAGTTGAAAGAACTGGGTCTCTAGCCAGAAGAAGGGATTTGGCTGGTAAAGTGGTTGCCTCTGACAATCCTTCCTGGGGAAAAAGGATTGCACCAATTCTAAACAGAACAAAGAATTGGACTTAGGACCAAAGGGTAAACCACCAGAGTGACCAAAAGCTTTCTACTAGACAGAGCTGTCTAACAGTTGTTAAGATGGTGAGAAGTCCCTGTCACTGAAGGTGTCCAAGCAGTGGGGGCACTTGATATTTTGTGTCTGACAGTTCATGAGTTTTCTTTTAATGCATGCACATCACCACCACCACCCCTAACACACACACACACACACACACACACACACACACTGAAGCCTGGCTGTATAAAGGCAGGTGAGGCACACCAGTGTGGGGCGTGCATCTCTCACTTGGCTTAGCTTTGGTCCCCCAGAGATTTTCCCATTGCAGACTTGCTTGTCAGCAAGAAATAAAAGCCTTTCCTCTCTCCTTGGGAGGAGCAGAGCAGATTGTCTGGATCTGCTGCGTACTGCCCTGGCTCTGGTCTCAGCACAAACGCGTTCCTTCTGCTCAGTCTGTTCCCGTTTTGACAATGCAGAGGGGAGAGCTGGAGAAAGTCCCGCAGCCCAGAGTCCTGGCAGTGGAGGGCGGGGCTTTGCTGTTGGACCCGACGGATCACATTTGTATTCAAGAAAGACTAGGTGGAGCCCCTTGCTCCCAACACAGGCAGAAAGGTTGGCTGGGATTGGTGCCCATCCTCAGGCATCTTTTGAAGAGAAAGTGCTACCTGCTGCTATCCTTTCAGTGTTTTCTCAAAGGCAGAGCCTGAAAAAGGTTTTCGCAGGAGGAAACTTCTCTAAACCTCTCTAGCATCCTGGAGATTAAAATAAGTTATTTTTTTCTCTGCAAAAGAGATGAGGTGCTCTGATACCTGAGGGTGGAGTACTGGACCCTTTACATGATTAAGATCCAGAAAATATGCTTTTTGCCTACAGCATTGTATGTCCCGTGACCAGCCAGTAGTGATCCATTAAACAATGTTACTCAAGGTGGATTCACTAAGCACCCACTCTGTGCTAGGCCATACTTCCCAGGCACTGGGGAGCAAAGGTGAGAAAGATCCAGGACTTACCCTCAAGAAGCTTATAGTCCAGTGGGAGAGACCATCACAAGCAAAAAGAAAAATTAAATCCATGCACTCAGGGCTCCAGGAGAACTTTGCTGTGAGTGCACTAGCTGTCCGGGAGCATCTGGGGTGGCGTCTGCAAGGAAGGGATGCTTCGGATGAGTTTTCAAGGATACACAGGATTTTATGAAGTGGCAAAGGCAGGAGTGGGAAGGGATCTGTGCATGCAAAGTTCTGGGAAAGATGTGGAAAAGTTTTGTTTATTTAAGGAACTATGAGAACTTTGACGTGACCAGAGGAGCTACCATGCAGGCAGGGAAGTGCAAAGGATGAATCTAGAGCAGAGGTTTTAACCAGGGACAGTTTTGTACCCCAGGGACACTTGTTTGTCACAAAGAGAGGAGCAGCAGTGCTACTAACATCTATAGCGCAGAGGCCAGGAATGCTGCTAAACATCCTACCATACTACCGTGTGGACAGCTCCCACAACACCATGATCTGGTCCACAACGTCAATACTGCTGAGACAGAGAAACCCTGAGCATGGTAGGGTGTTTAGGAGTATCCCTGGCCTCTCTGCCCACTACAGAGAAGCAGCAGCCACACCACGAAAAAATGGAGTTCTGTTAGGGGCACTGTGCTTTCTGAGGGTCACACAGAGAAGGCATCCAGGGGAAGGAAGCCAGGGGAGAGTTGAGCTTTCAGATTCTGCAATCTGGAGTCCTCTATAGCTGTGTTTCAGCTAGCCCTCCCAGCTTTATTTTCTGTACATGTTTGATAAGCCTGCATCCAGTATCTGCCTCCAAATTGTTGACAAAAATGTTAAATGCAAAAATTTCAGGGCAAATAATGACTTAGACTCAAATAATGCCATTCAGTTTATGGGCATTTTGCATCCTTCATCTCATTTATATTCATTTTACAAAACAGAAAAATGAAGCTGGGAGATGTTCTGCAATCTAGGAATTATTTAACTATAACACGTTCAGCTCCCATCTCTTCTCCTAGGCTGGTCCCTGAGTGCTCCAAGGACCCATGCATCTGACCATAGGGGATGCTGGGAGTATCCTCCATCCTGGCCTGAAAGAGCTCCCTTTCAGCTTCCTGGATTCATATCTGTGTGAGTGGCTAAGGGCAGGTTCCCTGGTCTCCCTCTGCCCCTAGCTGTGACACTCACATACCCGTCTGACTACAGGGGACTCTCTCCCTCCCTGAGGCTGAATTGGTAAGAGGACCTCTCATGGATAGCAGGCAGGGACAGCTGCTCAGCTCATGTTTTCTGGCCAAGAAGCATTACTGACCCTGTGATTTGGCACTTCATCCAAACTGGCAGATGGGTACAGGTGCCTTGCCGTGATGCTGCTTCCTCTCCACCAAGCATGCCTGACCATTAAATCACCCAGCAGAGGACAGCACCAGTCAGCTGAGGGGTGGGCTCTTTTCAAGTGGAACCCCAAAATACTGCTAATCTGAAATGTCACTGTTCTCAGGGACAGCACGAATGAACCATGCCAAGTCACACACTGCAGAAACACTCTCAATAATCAACACTAGGTGTTCTAACAGTTTGTTCAAGCCTGTTCATCTGTGGTTTAGAAGTTTATAACATGACAATCTTTTACTCCAATAGCTTTCTGAAAACTGACTTCCCATATTCCCAAAGCCATCGCCAGCTCCCAGCTTTGTCATTCAGGAAAAAGAGTATGCACCTCCCCTTCATCCTCCTCATCTCTCACCATCATTAAGTACAAGCCCAAGGAGAAGAATCAAGGGCAATGAATCTTCATCAAACAATAAAATCCTGCCTGGTACCAGACCTACCTGTGCCATCCAAGCACTGCCTGCCCTGTCCCTCCATTAAACATCTTACCCTTGCTGCTGGTGGCTCCCGGGGCACTGTCCTTTCCGTGGCTCCTCCTCCCACCGGCATGGCCCAGCGGCTCTCTCCTGCTGCTCTGGCTCCGTCCCTCTCCAATAACATTGCTCCTTCTCTGGCAGGGTCCAGCCACTTTGTCACAAGCTACATCTATGGCGAGCAACGACTCCCGGCTGCAGGGTGAGACAGATAAGAGGATAAGAGGGAGCAGGAGCAGACGGAGAAAGAAGGTGGCAAGACAGAGCAGGCGAGAGATAGTGGTGGCTAAGTCTAGGGTGCTGATTATGGAGTAAAGGGAAAAGGAGGCATGAAAGCTGAGCCCGTGTTGAAAAGAATGTCAAAGGGAGCTCAAGCACTGGGCGGGGTGAGGGCAGAAGAGGGGTCCTTTCCAACCCTGGCACCTTTAAACTGTACAGGGGCTACCCTGGCTTGGAGCCATGCCATGCCTCTGATCCTAGGGAGTAAGAATCTCTTTTTGGGGGTGCAGGGCAACAGCACCCATTTCTCCATGAGCCACGTGCTTGCGTTTTCCAGTGGGATGCTCTCCAGGGTCATCTGGGTCCTCTTGCCTTGTGCTTGTTCATCACCTGAGCATGATTCTTGCCTGCTCAGCAGGGCGGTAGGGGGTTGTGAGCTCACAGCCCAGAAGCTTGACCCCTGTGGGGGCTCGGCATTGGTCCCTGGGACTCTGTGGCAGTGAGGCAGCCACACAGTGTCGAGTGGCTACTCTGTATGAGGGGATTTCTAAAAATACATCTGTCCTGCTTCTCATGGGGCTCATGAGTGCCAGGCAGATGGGACAGGCATGTACAACCTGCTCCCTCCTCACTGTCCCCACCACCGTCCTTCTAGTTCGGGTTGCCGCCTCTTCTCACCCAGACTATTCCACCAGCCACCTGCCTGCTCTCCCTTTCCCCGTGGCCTACCAGGTATTATAGTTACTAAAAACACAGGATCCTGTTGGGAGACCACACCTCAGCTAAAGCCTATTCTCTCATTCATTCATTCACTCACTCATTCATTCAATCCTCAGCATGCACCTCATATACATTTAACGTGCCAATGTGGCATGCTTTTTCGAGGCCAGGCTTGTGGCAGATGCTACAGATTGGGTGAGTGAAGCCAGACACAAAAGGACATAGTGTATGAATCCATGTGTGCAATGCTCGGGAATAGGCAGATGTAATCTACAACAATGGAAGTCACAAGACTGATGACTTCTTGGAGGTGGCGTGTAGCTATTGACTGAGGAAGGGCAGGGTGGGCTCTCTGGGGTCTGGCAATGCTCTATATTGTGATCTGAGTGACGTTCTCAAGGGTGTAACAAATTGAAAATGTACTGAGCTGCACACTTGAGAACTGTGCCTTTTACTATAGTATGTTAGAACTCATTATCTTTTTAAATGTATATAAAACATAATTCTGGTTTTGCTTTTTGGAACTATACACATATCCATGACTCAAGAATCAAGGAGAAAACTATTAATACTCTAACAGTGCTTGTCTCTAATTGGTAAGATTATGGTAAACTTAATTTCCTTGTTGATACTTTTCTGGATTTCCCAAATATTCTACACTGAATAGATCTTGCTTAAGTAATGAGATTAAATATATTAAATGTTATTTTAAAAGTAAGAGCCCTCGAGGTGAGACAATCAGCAAGCACGAGGCAGGTGGCTGTCTTCCCAGAGGGGCCAAGCCCACTCACGAGCTTTTGTCCTCTTAGGCAGCAAGGACACCAGCTTAGGAGTCATGTTCCAGGTCTGTGAGATTTCAGTTCAGCTAAATAAAGCTCTTGGCCCGCTGTGGGTGGTGAGGTGGGGCTGCTGGTGGAACCCTCGGGGTTTTCCTCTCATTGCTGAGGGGAAGGAGGCTCCAGGGCTTTCAGAGGCTTGCCAGGCCCATTCTTACCCTGGCAGCCGTTTAGACTAGCCTGACTCAGAGTCCCATGCACTTCTAACCTCTTAGACTTGGGACTTTGAGCCCCAGCCTGCCTGGAGTTCTCTCTTATGGAGTGGGGATAATTTCAGGATCCTCGCCACATCCCTTCAGCAGGAAGGACCTGCCCTATGCAGTTTGGGGACACAGAGAGATAGAGTGAGCTGATGGCACAAGTAAAAAAAAAATTTATATATATATAAATTTTATATTATATATATATCAATTGTTATTATATTTTATATATTATATTATATATTAATTTTATTAATAAATTTTATTATATATATTATATATTAATTTTATTAATATTTATTAATAAAATAAAATATTATATATATAGATTGAACCCTGGAAACTCTAAGGAAGGAAGAAAATGGAACATGGAGGAATCACTCTGGGCCTCGGTTTTCCACTGGGAAATGTGGCTGTTATGAGATTACCATATGAATAAGCATGTAGAAAATGCTGGAATGGGGGCTGGTTTTGTGTTCTGGTTTTGGTGACGCTTTGGGACATGGAGACCGGCTGCATAGCTGGCTCCCTGGCCTCCTGCTCCAATTCCAGTGCCCCACTTTCTTACTCTCTTACTCTCTTGGCCACCACAGCCCAGACATAGCAGGGGCAGGATAGATTTTTTCGTATGTGTGTCCGAAGCCTGATTTCTGCATTGGCAAAGCTATTGTGGTCATGTGATGAGGATCAGCTTGTGATTCACAAATGTATTTTGTATTTCTAGCTTGGATCCTAAAAACACTTCCCTCTTCCCTCCCACCTCCCTCTCCTCTGCCCACAACATGAAGGCTCCCACAGAGATGTCATGTGAAGGCTTCTCAGGCTGAGCCAAGGGAAGAGCCAGTGGCCAGCTCTGCCCTGTGACACACACAGCCTCCAGGAGTCACATGGTCTCCAGCTACCACCACCTGCCCTCTGTCCCCGGCCTGCTGCCCTCTCCCTGGCAGGCTTCCTGAGCTGATGCTTCCCTCCAGACTGCAGCGTAGCAGACAGTGAGACTGACGGACAGAGGGTACAGGGCCAACAGGCTTGGACAGTTCTGTTCCCAGCTGACCTTGGGGTGGGAATCCAACCGGGAAGCTCCTGGACACTACATGGTGTGCCCTGCAGGAGATGAGGTGCCTTACTGACCCGATCCAGAGGTAGACAGAGCTATTGGCAGCTGCTTCCCCACAACCAGCCCCAGCTCCACGAGCATGAGCCACAGGTGCTGAAATAAGGCAATGCAGGGAGCCAATGGCAGCATCCAGTGTCCCTCATGGAAAGGCTGGAAGCAGGACATTGCCAGGCCTTGGGGAGAGGGAAGAGGACAAATACAGGAGGAGTCATCTGTGTACATATTCACAAAAAAGAAAAACAAATCAGGGATTCTCAATCAGGAGCTATTTTGCCACCCAGGGGACTTCTGGTAATGTTTGAAGACGTTGTTGGTTGTGGAAACTGGGGAAGTGCTACCAGAATCTAGTGAATAGAGGCTAAGGATGCTGTTGCTGAACAGCCTCTGATGCACAGAACAGCCCCCACCCCCAACAAAGAATAATCCAGCCTCAAATGATAGTGTTGCTGTTGAGAAACCCCGATCTAGAGAGAAAGCAGCTTTGCTAGGGAAGATTTGAGCAGGGCCCCATGAATAAACCCACCAGAGTGAGCTGCAGCTGTGAGTTCCAGGCTTGGAACCTTCCGTGCCTGTTTAGTGCCCTCAAATTTGAGCCCATACCCTTCGGCACACACACTAAGACTTCCTTCCATGATCAAGCCCTGGCTTACCCTTCAGCCTCATCTCCCACTGAGTTTTGGTCACACCAGACCATCAACATCCCAGATACTCCAAAGTCCTTGCCCTTGAGGAAGGAGATTCCATACCCTGTCTGGAATGCTCTCCTTCCACTTCTGTCTGACAGATACTCACTCCCCATTCCCTGTTCTGCATCCAGCTGTGGCATATTTGAGAAGCCTTCTTTCATTGCTATCCTGCATCTTCCTTGTTCCTGGGGTAGCACACAGCCTCTCTTTCATAGAACATCACACAAGACAGCTGCTGGGATGGCTGACTTGTGTATCTGTCTCTCCCACCAGACTGTGGGTTCTCTCAACAGGGTGAACATGAAAAATAGAAGCCTCCAGTTTCTCCTGATAGTGTATAGATGGGCAGATCTGGCCTCAATGGCAGAAGATACTTGGGGAACTGGAGAAAGTACAGAAGGTGATGTGAAATCAATTGGGTCATCAAAAGAAGACGGGTGTACCACAATTTGTTCCTCCACCTGCTGCCCATGAACATTTGGAGGGTTTCTAGTTTTTGGCTATTACAAATAAAGTTGTCATGAACATTTGCATACAAATCTTTGTGTAGACATATGTTTTTATTTTTCTTTGGTTAAATACCTGGTAGTTGAATGGCTGGGTCATATGATCAATTTATGTTTAACTTTTTAAGAAACTACCACTGTTTTCCAAAATCATTGTACCATTTTACACTCCCATCAGCAGTGTACAAGAGTTCCGGTTCCTCTATATCTTCACCAGCACTAGGTTTGGTCAGTCTTTTTAATTCTAGCCATTTTAGTGGGTATGTAGTGGTATCTTACCATGATTTTAATTTGTATTTTCCTAGTGACTGAGGATGTTGAGCATCTTTTCCTGTGCTTATTTGCCATTCATATATTTTCATTGGTAAAACATATATTCAAAGACAGAGTTTTGAAAATTATGAACATGGTCTTTGGAATCCATCAGACCTAGTTTCATTTTCTGGCTTGGCCATTTACTGTGCAATTTAGGATAAGTGGCTTATCCTCGCTGAACTTCATCTTCCTCTTGTGTAAAATGAGGATAAAAGAACCCAGTAAGGTTAGAGTGAAGATCAAACACTAAATGCCTTTAAAGTACTTAACCCAAGGCCTAGCATATAAAACATAATAAACATTATTAATAATTATTATAACTTTCTCTCTTGGTCCAATTGGAATTATAACAAGCAAGACCCCTGGCATACCTCAGAAACTAATCTCTGCAGGAATTAAATGGTGTTTTATTTCCAGTACAGTATATATACATAAATTTTTTTATCCTTAGGTATTGGAAGTATGGAATTTTGTACCAGTCTATTATGTCACAGCAGAAAGAGTCTTTAGAGATATCTAAACCAAGGCCATGCCTTAGCCCAGGTCCTCTAGTAATAAGAGCCTAAGGCAAGAATTACAATGCTGGGACTTTATTTGAGAGGTGCAAACCTAGGGTTCTCAGGGTGAGGAAAAAATTAGGAAGGAAGACAGGAAGATTTGGAGGTTATTGTGCAAGTTTCCACTACACAAAAAAAATTGCCAAAGAGACACAGTAGGTCTCTTGACAGAAGTGCTTGCTCAGTGCCCAGAATTCCCTGGAAGGCTTACAAAGAGAAAGCACACTTCCCAGAAGCCCAAGGAGGGAAAAAGCAGAGGATGCTTGTCTGACAGCTTCCCTCCCATGATCAAGATTGACTTCATGGAGAGCAATGTCCCCTCCACTTCTGGGGCGTGTTGTCCAGCACCATGGTGGCCATTCAGGGACACACATCCCTTAGGTGTTCTGGCATTTCACCTAAGCCCAGAAGTCAATGGGCAGCTTCGTGCCAGTGGGAACCAGCCAAGGGAGAAGAAGAAAGTGCACCAGAGTTACATCCTGTCTTAGTCTGGGAACCCCTAGAAGCAGATCCTGAGTCAAAAATTTGAATGCAAGAGGCTTTGTGGAGGAAGAGACTCCAGGAAGCACTGGTAGAGGAAACAGAGAAGATAGGGAAAGCTGAGAGCGTGGGGGTGCCAATGTACTGTTGTGGGTGCAACACTATTGGAGACCTCTGGGAATCAGTAAGAAACCCATTTTAGGATTTTCCCACATCGACTTCTACCTCCCCTCCCCCAAGAGAAAGGAGGGCCAGTCTCTGGGAGTAGGGCTCTTTTGGCATATCAGGTACCACATCTGCCACATCACGGGCCAGGAAATTTTTTCTTAATTGGCCAGGATTTTTTTAGATTTGTTGGCTGCATGGTTTCTGTTGCAACTAGTCAACTTTGCCCTTGCAGCTCAGCCACAGGCGATACATAAACAAATGAGCAAGGCTGTGTCCCAATACAACGTTAGTCACAAGAACAGGCAGCCAGTTGGCAGGCATAGTTTTCAGATCCCTGTGCTACAAGTATGATGCATCCCATTTTGCATGGAAAAACTGAGGCCTAGTAGAGAAAGGTAACTTATCACGTAGCCAGCCAGAGGCACATCTGCTGACTTTTTGTTCAATATTTTCTCTACTGTGCCTTGCTACCTCTCTACTGAGGCCTTTGTGTGTGTGTTTAAAGAACTGGCAAACAGAATTCTCCCAGAAAGTATGTGTGTAACCCATATTTTTTAAATGGTGGTGGTTTGTTTCCTCTTGGTGGCTAGAGAGGCTCCAGGGCCTAAAGTTTTGCAGGCTCCAAGAATGGCTCCAGGCAGCTATCTCCCTGAGCATCACTGAGTGGGGCTGCTTTGGAAGCCTCCCCCGTGCCAGCCTCTTCCACCAGCCTCTGCCTCTGCTGCCTTGGCAGAGTGTCTCCAGCAGTGGTCACAAAGCGCAGAGTGAAAAAGCAGTTAGAGCATTGGATCCTGTAAAGATCTAAAAATATCCAGGAATGTGTGCACATATGTGGCCCTTCTGTGATCAAAACATCTGGGAAGAAGATCAAATGTTCCTGCTTTAATTTGCCTAAAATTCTGCGAGGACTTGGAAAGGGAAAGATGTTGAAAGTCATTGACTTTAAGGGGGTGAGGTGGAGGGAGGGAAGGACGTCACAAGGTTTTGTATTTTTAAGGCAAAGTAAGTTATGTGTATGCAGAATCCTCCCCTGGGGTGAGTCCTGGACCTTGATTTCTTTGGGATTCTGGGGATAGTTTCTCATAACGGGGGCGGAAAGTTCATTGGCTACAGACTTGAATTCCTGATTTGACTGCATTTGTTTAAAGGAAGATCAAAATGCCAAGACCCTCAATCAAATATTAGGAGCCGTGATACCGTAACAAATCACTAAATGTCAAATTTGAAGAAGGCCTGGTGTAAGTCAGGCATTTTTCAGATGCAGAAATCAAGACCCAAAGGGAGAGCTTTCCTGGGTATCCCTCCTGACTCTCAGACCACTGGTGCATTGCAAAGAAGAGTTGGAGCAAAGTTTCAATCCCGGTTCTGCCACTTCTAAGCCATCTGACCTCATCTGTATACGGATGATCCTGAATAGTTTTGTCCGTAAGAAGCCAGGTTGGAAACCTCTGGATCTCGTGTAGCTGCTTGCTGTGGCCCTGTAGCAGGGTGACCAAAGGCAGGAAGATGCCCACTGTCTTCATTACTTTTCATGGTTCCAAATCCTAATCAAGTGGCCTAGTCATTTGGGCTGACTGATGTCAGTCTGGAATTCCATTTGGTCCCTGGCTTGAATCTTTGGCCAGAAAGTGGTTAACTGGCCTCTAGAGTACCCTTTCTTCAAGCTACACCCTAACTCTGGGCCAGAGAAGGCAAGCCACTCCCTCAAGCTTAGGCTGCAACGAAGGCAACCGCCCATGCATCCGCCTGTGCCACTCTTGCCCATGCACCCGCCTGTGCCACTCTTCAGTCCCACTGGCCTTTGGAGGCCAAATAGTGGCTGCATGGGAGATGAGACGAAATCCCGGACTGGGATTCCCAAAAGAGATTATGCACGAGGAGGAAGATCTAAGTAGCGCCTGGTACTCAGGCACCAGAACTTCTCAACCTGCTTCCATCAGGGAGAACAGTAATCCAAGCAGGACCTTGACTTGATCTCCACCAGCGGCAGTGCCTAGTGCACCCTCTGGAGGCCAACCTTTCTGTTCCTCTCCAGTTATTCCAATGGGCTCAAAGACCAGGCCCACCAGGGGCACAGCTGTCACTCTAAAGTGACAAAATCATGAATTACCAGGATAGCCCTAGTAGTATCTTGGCAACACTGTTTCTTAGTCCTTTCCACTGTTGCCACTCGGTCCCACATGGGATCATCGAGATGGGAGGTCCACACACCCAAGGTCTTTATGAATGTCTCTTTCATGCTGCCGTACACTGTCTACACTTAGCTAAAAAGTCACGTTCTCTCATATTAACCATGTGGCTAACAAGCCAAAGACTACATAATGAACATCCAAGAGCAATGGACTATGATTGTAACCGCAACACCCCAATTTGCCACCACCCTATTAAGTTATCATTGCCTATCCTCTCCTATTTTTATCAGTCCACAGAAACATTAAATATACCTCCTTTGCCACAGAGAGAAAAATCTCAAAGTACGTAAAATCTCTCAACAATTATCCCTTGTTTCTTTTTATTTCACTTGGTCCCAGCTGTAAGAGCTGTAGGAGCCTAGATGGAAGCTGGGTCTCTTCCTCAGCAGCTGAAGACAGACTGGAACCATCCTCTGTTGACCTGCCAAGTTGGGTCCATCTAATGCTCACTCTCTCATGTGTCCTGCTTTCCCAAAGTTCCAGAGAGTCAAGAAGACAAACTGTTGTGCCAGGACTCACTTGCAGCATATGGAAAACAAACTAATCTCCAAGCTGAACGCCAACCACATATGCGCGCTTCCAGGAGATAATGAACTGGGATTAAATAAGATTAAGACTCCTCCATACAGCCCATCTCTGGGGATTGACAGCATCCAAATGGCAGGGATAGGCTTCAATTATCTCCATTTCTAGGGGTATATTGTTTTACATATTGGTTGGTCACATGTTATAAGTGTTTTTTTAAAAGCACCCCTGGGTTTTTTTCCTTAATTTGAGAAGTAGGGAAATGGAATCAGAGAGATACTTGGCCTGCTCCTAGTCTAGATATCAGGCTAGAGGGAAAAAGTGAAGTCACATCAATATGGAGATATGCTTGTGATTTCTACATTCTGTAAGTATGGGACTGATACCAGGTGCTTCTTAGAGATAGTGTTGACTAACGTGGCCTTACTCCCACATTTGCTCAGGAAAGTCCCAGTCTGTTGTCCTGACTTCCTGTCTGGTTTAGCATTCATCCAGGATATATGTTATTTTTACTCCTAAGGGGGTTACTTCCTCTGCCATGCACACTGCAGGCACCTGTCTGGTGAGCTTGTTTGTATAAAGTATCTGAGCATATTTCCAGATGGAAGTTAGAACAGGTGAGACTATGTGACTAATTAACATGGAAACCATGAGGAAAATACTGAGCTTCCCATTCATTGGCTTCACATCTAGACATAAGAGAAGAGGAAAAGATTAAAGTCCAAATGAAGAATTGAGCAAGAGTTTTCTGATTCTCTTGATTTTTCTGTACCAAGGATAACACCCACGTCCCTGAGTTAAAGAGAGAAGGTCAAATTATGAGGGTGTGTTGGCTGCAGGCTCCAACCTCTGGAGAGGAAAGCTAAAACACCTTTTTAAACAATCTGCTCATAAGCAGGAATTTTCTGACATGAGTGATGAGCACTGCTCTACTGGGGTGCTAAGATAATAGTGGCAAATGGATTTCAACCATTCTCCAATTCCAATTATCTAATACAGATGCTTAGAGCACCATGTTGAGAAAGAATCTAGGTTTGGCAAGAATGAGCGCCCTCATTGATTTGGGATGTTGGCTGTGGTTCCGGAGCAGAAAGCATCTGCACACATCTCAGTAATTTACCATTTCTGTGCTAACAAAAAGAATTTCAGTGGGTGGAACACAAAACTTTAAAAACTATTCCTTCTACATGGCATACCCTACTGGATGCTTTTTCCTTTTGAGACTGATTATGTCTGTAACTGTAGTTGGCTAACAAGGGCCTAGGGCAATATTCTAGCTTATAAAGCCCCACTCTTCCACCATAATTTTCTAAGCGAGAGGGTAAGGTAGGAGATTTAAGCCTGCTCTACCAGATCTCAGGATAATGCTTTCTTTCCCTTTTATGCTCTTTTCCTTGGAAGTGTCCTTCCTTAATTCTGCTCATGGAGATGATAGCTCCTACAATGAGCTAGGATGACTTTTAGTGATGGACTTGATTAATCTAGGGGCACAAATTTGGACGCTACAGTTTGGATATAGTCTAGTCTATCTCACCAGGGTGAGAAGATTTGGTGCCAAAGCTTTCTCTGTAGTAACATTTTCCCTCTGACTGGCTTTGCTGATCTGTGCCCTGCTCATGGACATAGCAGGACTGGTGCCAGACAAGGTAGGAAGCTGATGGACTTGTGGATTTGAGATCTCAGCAAAACATCTTGTCATTTCAGCACAACCACCAATAATATATATTTTCCTGCAGCTGTGAGGATTAAAGACAACGTATAGAAAGTGCCTAGGACTCAGGCTACTGTTATATAGTTAGCTATTACTATTATCATCACAATAACAACCAGTGTCACTCAATGACCAAATCTTTCACCATCTGGTTTGATTTTTGGCCAAAGTAATACATACTGTGGTGACTACAAGGTAATTCTCTTGAGAAAATAGCTGGACAACAGCAGGCAGTGCAAATCTCCTCTAAAGACCCATTAGTAAGAAATTCAGTACAAATTCCATCCTATATTTCATTGCTCAAATGAAGTGTTGAACATAGTGGGAAGTTTGATGTCAGCTACTCTGCTTCCGAGGGTTTGTACCTTGAGAGATTTTCATAATGTCTTTGTTAGAAAAAATGCTGGAGGCCCAAGGCGAGCTTCCCCAGATCATGCTTGCTCATTGGTGGGCTGGGTGTGAGATGTGCACACGCTCCAGATGTGGTGCACCAAGCCACTGGGAAACCTTAAGGCCCTTCAGCAAGCTGGCTCCAGGATAACTAGAAGCCAGGTGGAGGGTCTGTATACTGGGTCTTCCATGAACATGTTCATCATGCATGGATGGGACAACTCTTAGGAGAGAACTGGTTTATATTATTTAAAATAACTATAAAGATAGAATTTGTAGATTTTGGTTAAGTTATAAGGTTTATATGTTGCCTATTCATAGGGAAGAGAAAAGGCTCCACAAAGGAGTATGTGCACTTTTAAGATAGGCCAATAAAGATGCTGAAGGCCCTGCTCTCCAAAGAAAACTGGTGATTAAGAAAGCTGGAAGCGCTGGGCAGGCCCTGGTTATATAAACAAATGTTGGACCAAAGATGCTAAAGGGCCCCTGCTTTTACAAGGAGAAGAGGAACTAAGAAACAGAAGGCCCAAAGGGACCAATGATGCATCTGGTAGTCAAGGAAGGAGGCTGAGAACGGACAGTGTGAGCCCAAATGTGCACTCTGTGGGTTCAAGGATAATCTATGTGAGCCCAAGGGTATACAGTGTCAATGTCTGCTGTCTGAGAGGTCCTAAGTTTGAGAGGTGATATAAAAATGGGATTTGGGGCTGTGCCCAGTGGCTCACATCTGTAATCCCAGCATTTTGAGAGGCCAAAGCAGGTGGATCACTTGAGGCTAGGAGCTCGAGACCAACCTGGCCAAGGTGGCAAAACCCTGTGTCTACTAAAAATACAAAAATTAGCCTGGCCTGGTAGCATATGCCTATAATCCCAGCTACTCAGGAGGCTGAGGCACAAGAATCACTTGAATCCAGGAGGCAGAGGTTGCAGTGAGCCAAGATCTCACCACTGCACTCCAGCCTGGGAAACAGAAAGAAAAAGGATTTGGGGCAGGGGAGCCAGGTATACTCTAAATTCTGCCTAGGTCCAACCACTTTCTTTCTCATGAGGCACCCAAGGGAAATACAAAGGCTCAAAAGTACCAAAATAAGACATTATTAGCTGAGGCTTTAACACTAAGATCTATTATAGAATTCCAATAAACTAGATTAAAGCACGTTGAGGGCTTCCTTTTCTTAATCAGAACAAGTTGTATGAATAGTTAATGTTCCACTGTATCCAGGAAACCATCCCATCTGGGGCAGAAGTGCCCGGGGCTACTGGTGTCTGTGTGTGTCTTGGCTGTCCCTCTCCCATGATCCTTCCCACTCTGGCTTCACCCAGCATCCAGTCCTCTCATTTGCTAACGAGGGTCCAAGGATGTCTCAGAAACCACGAGACTATAAGGAAGAAACTGAAGGAAGGAAGGTTTTAGTGCAGCTGAGGAAGGACTTTCTAATGGCCAGATCTCCAGGATGGAAGAGCTGCCTCTGAAGATCATGAGCTCTCTGTCTCTGGCAGGACAACTTTGGGTAGAAATGCTGTAGAAGGTTTACAGCCTCAAAAGAGAATAGACCTATTAGATCCTTTTCCATCTTAAAAAGCTATGATTCTTAGTCTTTTCACCACTCCCGGCTTCAGTTTCCTGATCTTTACAATGACCCCTGAAACACTTTTCTGCTCTGTGGTAATGATAGACCCTTAATAATGTTGCCACATTTCTGGTGCATCATAGGTGAAGAGGACTAGAATGAATAAAATAATGAATAAACACATGTATTATTTGTACTGGTGCTTTACTTTAAGGAAAACCACTGGATTAACTGGTGAGGGGAAATTGCAGGAGAGAGTGAAGTGGTAGCTCTGTATTGCCAATATTGCAGAAAATATGCATATATCTTTCATTCTGCCTAATGTTTTATCAGTTCATGCTTTTCCCTTCAGAAATTGTGTGCCTGCACGTAGTATATAATCCAGTTTCCCAACCAGCTTTAGGAGATGCCAAATATTTAATGACACCCCACCTAGAAACAATAAATACATTTGAGTCAGTCTTAGACTCCTGGGGAAAGGGATGCTGAAAATTTGATGAAAGGGATTAATAAATTATAACCAGGCTATTAAGATGTGAATCACTAAAGGCTCCTGACACTCTTTTCCTCTCTCTAATTAGAATTAGGAAACAAATAAACAGAGTCACCTCCTGGTACTCAGAATTCTGCCCCCACCTTTCTGAGGCCACTTTGTTGGTCTAGTTCATAGACTTTCATTTAGATATTAAGACGGCCTTTACTGATCAGCAATAAGGTTCTGAAAATCAATTCAGAGGCAGTGCATTGACTCTCTAAGCCAGATGCTATGACCGTATTGATGAGATGCCATTCACACAGCTGGGGAAGGCGAAAGTCCAATTTGTGAGCCATAGGGTATCTTCCCAATCAAAGTGCTCCTGCTGATGGATTTCAGGGCCTGCTTTAAGCTGTCACAGACCCAAGCTTCATGGAAGGAAGCATAGAGATTGTCTCCTCCCATCTCTTTATTCGTAGGCAGAAACTGAGGCCACAGGAGAGGAAGCAAGTTGCCCAAAGTCATGCAAACTTTCATAACTAAACACACAAGAGCCTGGATCTCCTGACCCCTGGACCACTATTATTTCTACACCTATTATGAGGGCCCAAATTCAACAGCTTTGTATTTTACTGTTCAATCATTAGATTAATGCTTTATAATACAGACATCAGAGCCAACTACTGGGAGACAATTCCATCACCTCTTTGTAGGGGAAGCTTGGTGGCTCTTCCCCTTGAATACAAGATGTAGACTTCTGATGTCATACTCATTCAGTTTGGGTGCAGAAACTGACTCTCTCATTCATCTTTATATCCCAGAGCCTGGAACAATGCCAGTATTGAGGAGTCTTGGGGCAGAGGGAGCAGGGATTATTTAAATGAATGAATCATGAGAATTTATCTAAGTTCAGAACTTTTTTTTTCAGTGCATAGTGACTCAAAGCAAATAATGGAAAAATGCATTTTCCTCCAAATAATTCCCAAGTTCTGTTTCAACTTGATCTTCAACAAACATTTGTTTGGGTTTACTACATGCTAGGAACTAGATAGAAGGAAATAAAACACAGCCCCTATCCTCAGAAGCTCATGATCTAGTAAGAGAGACAGATGTCCCAGTGGTTACAATCCAGGGTGAGGGTATGCATGTTAGAGGTATATCAGAAGAGGGACATGCAGACCAGAGGCAGGGGCACAGGTGACAGCTGAACTGAATGTTGAAGTCAATTGGGGAAATGATGAGGAAAGGGGTTTTAGGCAGAGGGAACAACATGTACTAAACACTAACATGAGAACGCTTGAGAAAGCTTGCCCAAGGATGTAGGAAGAATGCAACCAACAAATTTTAACATGTTGTACAAATTAAATTTAAAATTGTTTGCTTCTCTGTTTGCTTTTCCAGAAGAGGTCATTGGTGACTAGTGAAAGAAGCACTGAACTTGGAATAGGGATAACTTGAAAAAAATAATGATTCCATTTATTGTTGCTAAGCTTATACTGTATATTCCAGGCTCTTTACTAACAGTCACTGCATGATGGGAGAACTTTTACCTCGCTCCAGTCTGCAGATGGGGAAGCTGATGTTCAGTGAGTACTAGCCTGTACCAACATAATTGTTTTACTTCTCAGTCTTCTTAGCTGAGACCCAGGGATGTGGCATAATTGGATGGCCACCTTAGACACAAGTATAAAGCCACATTATCCTCTCTAATGGCAGGGAGTTTCCTGCTGCCATTAAAAAGCAGCAATCCCTCCCTCTTCCCTGAACTACCCTCATGATGATTCCTGCCAGAGCACCCAGGAATATCCCAGAACATTCTAAGACATTCATGGGAGAACACTGTCCCACCCACTCCCCTGCTCAGGCACCTCAGGCACCTTTCAGCAAACTTTCCTCATGGGACTGGAAGCGTGCCCCCTCGGGTGTGTGAGTGTGTGTGGCAGGGGGTGAGCAGTCTCTTCCATTTTCCCAAGAATGTTCTCCCATCATCCCATCCACTCCTCTCTTCCTCATATACTTCCATATATTCTGAGCCACACCTGCCCCCATAGGTCAACAATTACCCGGTAACCTTAAAGTCCACGCCGGGTGCAGTGGCTCATGCCTGTAATCCCAGCACTTTGGGAGGTCGAGGTGGGTGGATCACCTGAGGTCGGAAGTTCAAGACCAGCCTGAGGCAGGAGAATCACTTGAACCCAGGAGGTGGAGGTTGCAGTGAGCCGAGACTGTGCCATTGCACTCCAGCCTGGGCAACAAGAGTGAAACTCCATCTCAAAAGAAAAAAAAAAAAGGTCCAGCAACATCACCTTTTCTGAAGTTGCTCCTTTTCTATGTTAAACACAGAATCACTCTCTGTTCTGAGCTTTCCATGCCCCTGGGGGCTTCCCTGACATTTGTCATAGCTCAGTTTACTCTGCATCCCACAAAAGACTGAGACTCATGGAAGGTAAGGATGCTTCCCAATTATCTCGGTGTCCTCAACACCATTTGGGTAAATGGTCAGCCTCCCAGCTGTAAATGTTCTGAATTCCAGAGCAGATTCAAGCCCTGACTCTGCCACTTCCTGGTGCTGGGCACCGCCTATGTTAAAGGCTGATGAAAAATGGGGACCTTGCCTCAACAGGTCTCCATGCAGGCCCATGTGAGGCAAGAGGGTGCACCTTGACCTACTTCTTGCTCAAATAAGCTTCTAGTGGTCCCATGGGCCACCTTCATCTCCACCCATGCACAAGTGAGCAGGTGTTAATGGCATGTGATCAGGTGTTCCTGATCAGCCCACCACCCCTCCTATCCAGATACATCTTCACTGCAATCTGCAGAAAGTGCTTGTCATTTCTAGGGAGTGGATAGCACCCTTCCCTATTTGCCTGCACATTTATTTTTTTCTCTCTTATTATATTCCTTTGGCCATTTTGATGAGATTTTGTATGCATGAAAATACAGTAAAATGCTTATGTTCAGATTTCTGTTTTGGACTCCATTAAAGTTTTTAAGTAGGTTGATTTCTTTTAAGAAGCACTTCTGACTGAGGAATGCTCCAATACTCTGACTATTTTTTTTCTTTTTTGAGGCAGAGTGGCACTCTGTCACCCAGGCTGGAGTATAGTGATGCAATCACAGCTCACTGCAGCCTTGACCTCCTGGGCTCAAGTGGTCCTCCCACCTCAGCCTCTCAAGTTGCTGGGACTACAGCATGCAGCATCTCGCCTAGCTCATGTCTTTTTTATAGAGACGGGGTTTTGCCACATTGCCCAGGTTGGTCCAGACCTCCTGGGCTCAAGTAATCCTCCTGCCTTGGTCTCCCAAAGTGTTGGGATTACAGGCGTGAGCCACTGAGCCCGGCCTCATATTCTGACTCTTGATGCTAATTGGCTCGTTCTCTAAGCATTGGAGGTTTTTTTTTGCTTGTTTGTTTTTTTATTGAGATGGAGTTTTGCTCTTGCTGCCCAGGCTGGAGTGCAGTGGCGCGATCTCGGCTCACTGCAACCTCCATCTCCCAGGTTCAAATGATTCTCCTGCCTCAGCCTCCTGAGTAGCTGGGATTACAGATGTCTACCACCACACCCAGCTAATTTTTTTGTATTTTTAGTAGAGATGGGGTTTCACCATGTTGGCCAGGCTGGTCACGAACTCCTGACCTCAGGTGATCCACCCGCCTCAGCTTCCTAAAGTGCTGGGATTACAGGTATAAGCCACCACGCCCTGCCTAAGAATTGGGTTTGAATCCCAGCTCCTCCAGTTGCTAGCTGTGTGATCTTGAACCAATTATTTAGCCTCTTTGAGTCAGTTTTCTCACCTGTAAAATGGAAATAATGCCACCTTTTTCACAGAGTGGTTATATACTTAACAAATAACCACAAATTGCTCATAAGAGGTACTCAATTAATCATTGCCCCCCTGTGTTTAGAAGAGGTATAATGTGTTTGCTACATACATCTTTCCTTCTAGATTACCTTTCTAATCCTCTGCAGAGGAAAAGGATGGTCCAAACCCTATATTCCTCATAAATATATTGAGTAAACTAATAATTCAAAGTGTCTATTGGATTGGAAACTGATTTTTTTAACTTAGTAAGATCAGTTTCACTGAAAAGTTTGGGCAACGAGTTGTGATGTGAACCTGCCACAGCTCACATCCGCCTTCTATTCTCTACACCAGTTTTTCCATATCAAATCTCCAAATTCAAATATTCGCAGTTTCCAAGCAAAAATATAAGGCAGAGCTCACACCTCCCAAGTCTCAGCCACCACCGGGCCCAAAGCGATCATTGAGAATGTTAATTGAATGCTGTAATTATAGTGAATGTGTAATAGGCATTTTGCACTGATGTTGTACACTGCCAAGAAAATATTTACTTGGCTAACTCAAGTCCACAACCAAGTCTGTTTTTTTTCACAACCGAAATAATGTTTTCATTTGTCACCACTAGATGACACACCAGTGTGAAGCATCCTGGATGTTTCAGACATACTCAAGATGTTCCTTATGCTGTGCCCCCTCGTAAGTCATCTGCCTCCTTTCTTCGCAGGACCTATACCTAACCCCGTGTGGGTTCTTCTGTGTTTCTTATTGGCTTTGGATGCCATTAGCTGTTTATTGAAGATTCATGTGGAGATGAGCAGAAGTGAGCTGGAAGAGTCTGAAACTTTGGGTTAGGTTTCTTGTCTCTGACCCTGTTTCATCAAAGCCATTATTTCCTTTACACTGGATGCTTATTTTCCTGCAATGTTTGGTCCATGGTGTTCACAGCAAGTCCTTTTAAATTACAGGCTCACTGGCAAATAGCAAATTCTGCTTCCCAAGCCTTGATCACCCATCTCGACTCTAGCCATTGCTCTTAACCAGGAGTTGATCTCGGAAAATGGAAATGGTGGATTTCACCTTTAGCTCCAACTTCCCAGATGTTCTCTAGGACGCGTTGGTCCTCCACAGGGACATTCCTATCTATCCAGTGGCCCATCCAGCCTTAGAGCGGGTCATTCTAATCAAAGGCTCCTTTCGGGATGGAAGCACTCACATTTAGAGAAATCTTCCCTGCTCAAGCCCTGAGGTGATCCCTATTCCTCTCTCATTTTTCTCCAGATTTCACGGTGTGGTTCATAGTTTGTGGTTTGGGGCTGTGGCCTTTTCCTTGTTCCACTAAATAGGAAGAGTTTTCTTTCCCTCTGTTTTATTCATGTTTGTTTTCAGTGTGTTTCTAAGGAGAGACAAGAATTACAAATGCCTTTATGCTGCCATCTTTAGCCAGAAGTTTCAAAAGCCTTTTGAAACCCAAATCCTTTCATTTATGTATTATCCTTCTGTATTGTGTATGCTTCTATAAATGTCTTCAAGGCCTGCTATGAAATAAGGTGAGGGTATCTGTATATACATTTTTAAATGTCATGTTCTTCCACTTGCCCCTCTCCACACTTTGATTTCTGTTTATCTCTTTGGAGGTCTCCTCATCTTTAATTTTCTTTTTTGTCATTTCTTTCATCCGATCTGGAAACCCTTCTATCCCCTAAAAGTGCTCAAAGAGATATTCTCTGGGGACCCCTTCTCCTCCTCTAGCCAGAATACACTTGCCAGATGTGTGTTAGTTCTCTCCCTTGGCAGCCAAATTGTATAGGTTCCTATAGAATTTCCCTCATTGTCCATGTGTCCTGAATCTCTAAACCAAGCTTGTCTAGTCCACAGCCTACAGGCCACATGCAGCCTAGGATGACTTTTTTTCTTTTCTTTTTTTTTTGAGACAGAGTCTCTCTCAGTCGCCCAGGCTGAAGTGCAAGTGGCGCGATCTCCGCTCACAGCAAGCTCCGCCTCCCGGGTTCACGCCATTCTCCTGCCTCAGCCTCCCGAGTAGCTGGGACTACAGGCGCCCGCCACTACGCCCGGATAATTTTTTTTTGTATTTTTAGTAGAGATGGGGTTTCACCGTATTAGCCAGGATGGTCTCGATCTCCTGACCTCGTGATCCGCCTGTCTCAGCCTCCCAAAGTGCTGGGATTACAGGCGTCAGCCACCGCGCCCAGCCCCTAGGATGACTTTGAATACAGCCCAGCACACATTTGTAAACGTTCTTAAAACATTATGAGATTTTTCTGCAATGTATTTGTTTTAAGCTCATCAGCTATCGTTAGTGCTAGTGTATTTTATGTGTGGCCCAAGACAATTCCTCATCCATTGTGGTCCAGGAAAGCCAAAAGATTGAACACCCCTGCTCTAAACAAAACAGCAGTGTGGTGTGGCTCTCCCAAAACCCTCTCGACTGCTGCTGTGGAAACTGCTGCTTTCTGGCCTTGATTGAAAGCTTCTGGGAGAGCTATTTTAGGCAGCCCATACTGTGTCCCTTGTCTGAAGACCTGCTGTATATTATTGAGATGAGCCCCCAGATAGCTGAAGAGCCCCCTCATTCCTCCCACCACATCCCCGCTGGGGCCGCTGAGCAGTAGAAGCATGGCAGAAGCAACATCCTGCTCACCAGCGTTCCCACCTGCTTCCTGCATCTGTTTTCTTGGGTTCCTGATCCAAGGGGAAAGGAAAGATGATTCAACCTTGCGTGTATGTTTATCCTGCTGGTGGAATGTCATTAAATATGGAAAATCATGCAAGTAGAGTTCCAAAGAAATGGATCACTGGGTTGATGATCCCCTGGACTCATTGTGCTCGTGGCTGAGAAATCTGGTTTCGCAAAAAAAGATACTTTGGGCCAGGCGCGGTGGCTCACGCCTGTAATCCTAGCACTTTGGGAGGCCAAGGTGGGTGGATCATGAGGTCAGGAGATCGAGACCATCCTGGCCAACATAGTGAAACCCCGTCTCTACTAAAATTACAAAAATTAGCCGGGCATGGTGGCACCTGCCTGTAACCCCAGCTACTCAGGAAGCCGAGGCAGGAGAATCACTTGAACCAGGGAGTTGGAGGTTGCAATGAGCGAGATCGCGCCACTGCACTCCAACCTGGTGACAGAGCGAGACTCCATCTCTAACAAACAAACAAACAAACAAACAACAACAACAAAAAGATACTTTCAGGACCCTGAGGAATATGAGGGAGGATAGTCATGACCTGTTGCTGATGTAAACAAAACAGGAGGTATAAGAGCATGGGATTTACTGGCAATAGCTTCTACGAAGAAGCTCCTATTCACAAAATCCTTGAGCGGTACATTTTATACCTTATCTCATTCAGTCTTTCCAATAATCCCACAAGCAATTACCCCCATTTTATGCACAAAGATATTAAGGATTCTTATAGAGAGAGGAAAAGACCAGAAGAGTATTTGATTACACTGTTTGGTGATTACGTGTTAAAAACAAAAATGTTTTAATATTTTACTTCGAATAGGTCTTCCATGAAGCTGCAAATCGAGAGGTGAGGCTGACCCTGAGCTTCATGTCTTTGAGCAATTTGAAGTTAGGAAACACTCTCTCCTGCAGTGCTTTTGAGTATGGGAGTAAAACCTGCCTCTCTCCCAGGCCCACAGGCCTTCTTCCTAGGGTGAGCCCTTAGCATGGGCAAGTCAGCTACACAAGTTAGGATAGCCAAAGGCATCACCACGGCTCCAGGTCTATCACTGGGTGTGTGAATATGACTGAATAGTACTTCCCAACTATATCAAAGATCACAAGACTTTTGAACTAGAAAGGCTGTTAGAGATTCTAACCCCTGCATTTTAAAGAGATTGCAACTAAGGCCTAAGCTGGTAAAGTGCTTTACTCTGTTTATGTTTTTTAACTGTGTAAGGACAAAAAGTCAGTATCATAACAAAATAAATCTCCTCCTTCATGTTTTCATAACCTTCTCTAATATTAAAAAGGAAAAAGAGAAAATAGTCTGTAAATGCAGCTCCAAGACAGATGCCTGCAGTCTGCAGGGAGGAGGAGGAAGAGGGAGTGTACTGAGGTGTGAGGCTGAGAGGAAGGCGAAGAGAGAGCACTGATGAGAGAAAGGGCCAGGGAGAAGCAAAGATGACCTTGGCAGTCCAAAGAGCTCCATATTCCAAGGATGCAAGGAAGACCTCCTTCATTTATTTTGCAAACTAAATTAGAACTGTTTCCTGGTCCCATCCACCAAAGGCAGAGGAGAGCACTATCTTACTCTCATGACTCCCTCCCCTCCCCCAGATCGTACAAAAACCTCAAGGGCTTACACATTTTGAAAATGTTGTTAGGCAGGAAAAGCCCCCTACAGCTCTCAGCTGGAGTGACCATGACTGTCCCTACTCCTGCACGGACACTGAAGTTAGTCCCCCGCCATGCATCCAGTGCCCCAACCATTGATCCAGGGACCTCACTGCCCATCCAGTGCCCCCGACACCCATTCAGTGCCCCCTCCATTTAATCAGCATCCCCCACTATGCAGTGCCCCTACCATCCATCCAGTGACCCTTGCCATTCATCTAGTACTCCTCACCTTCCATCCATCCCCCCGTTCATCCATCTAGTGTTCTCACCATCTATCCAGTGCCCCAACCTTCCATCCAGTGACTCCCCATCCACCAAGTGTCCCCACCATCCATCCAGTGACTCCGCTGTCCATACAATACCCCCCATACCCATTCAGTGCCCCCTTCATTTATCCAGTATCCCCCATTATATAGTGCCCTGCTATCTACCCAGTGACTCCCACCATTCACCAAGTGCCCCTCACCTTCCATCCAGTGATCCCACCATCCATCCAGTAACCCCCATTGTTCATCTAGTGCTCTCACCATCCTTCCGGTGCTCTCACCATCCATCTAGTAACCCCACCATCCATCCAGTGACCCCAACATCCATCCAGTGACTTCACCATCCATTCAGTGACCCCACCATCCATCCAGTGACTTCATCATCCATCCAGTGACCCCACCATCCATCCAGTGACCTCACCATCCATCCAGTGACCCCACCATCCATCCAGTGACCCCACCATCCATCCAGTGACTTCACCGTCCACCCAGTGACCCCACCTTCCATCCAGTGACCCCATCGTCCATCCAGTGATCCCATCGTCCATCCAGTGACCCCACCATCCATCCAGTGCCCCCCACATTTATCCAGTGCCCCCTCCATCTGTCTAGTATCCCCCACTGTGCAGTGCCCCTACCACCCATCCAGTGCCCCTTCTATCTACTAGTATACCCCACTATGCAGTGTCCCCACCATCCATCCAGAGTCTCTACCATCCATCCAGTGCCAGCATGATCCATACCATGCATCCCACCAGCTGTCTAGTGCTGCTACTATTTCCTGCAGAAGAGTCTTGCTTGCCCAGTGTCTAAAAGCCGAAACTGGCCTTTAAGGAAAGGCCATAACTTTTAGTACCCAGTCTTTTCACGTACTCTCATGCCCTATAGCCCCAAAGATGCAATGCCACAGCTGGTTCAGTCATCTACCCATTGTGAAATCTGCAATCACCTCCTCTTGAATCTACTGGGGGTCAGACTACTTACCTCTTCAACCCCACTAAACTTTGGGATGGCCTGCTTTTCTCCCACAGGTGTGCTTGTGAATCTATCAGAGAAAGCTCAGACCTCAGAAACACAAAGCCCAGCCCAGGTGAAATAGTTTTCTTTATTTACTTTTTTTTTTAACAAGGCATTTTTTAGGCACCTGGTAGATGCCAGGCATTATTGATACGCTATTCAATCCTCACCACAATGTTTTGCTGTTCTTAGAAGATCTAAGCCTCAGCAATGTATCCAAGTTCACTCGGCTAGAGCTGAGATTCAAGTTCAAATAGAAATCCCCAATGCCTGGGGTTAGAAGCAGCACATTCTGCCTTCACTCTTGCTAAATTTTGTGAACCACAGAATCATAGAGTTGATAAGGTAGGCTCCATCTAGACCAGTTCCCCTGCAGGTATAGCATTGCTGATATATAGTCCCCCTAAATATAGTGGAGAATTGGGCACTCTCATCATTTGAGGAGCTTCTACAGCATCGACTGAAATCTACCTTCCTTCAGTTTCTGCTGCATGTCCTTGCTTAGGGCCACATACAACCAACCCAATCCCTTCTTCCTCTAATAGCACTTCAAGGTTTGAATGGAAGCCCTCTGTCTTCCTTCTATGTCTTTTGCAGCCTAATCATCCCTAGTTTCTCCTGCCTTTTTATCATCCATGGCTGGTTTCACTCTCTGCCTTTCAATTCTTGTGTGAAGCTGGGTCATCAGGGAATTTTCAAAGAAGTATCAACTACTGTCAGTGACATCACTGGGCATTTGTGTTGAATAAATCCTCATCCCACTCTTTGATGGACTCTACCAGGTGCTGGAGACATTTGATGATTGCATGATTTAGAAACATTCTTGAAAAACCCGCCCAGTGAGTAATGAGGTGTTTACCTGTAATTACCTCAGAACAAAGGTTAAGCACTTTGGAATATTAAAGATATTTTAGAAGACTATTTTGAAAATTTGCAAGAGGGGTAATATGAGAACATCTGTTCTTAAAATCCTTGTAAAATATTCATGTACAAATAACTTAAAAATACTAAATACTGAATTTCTTTGGAGTCATTTGGGTATGTGAGTTCAGGAAGTCTCAGCTGGGAAGAGAGAGAAATTTTCCTAAGAGTTCTTCCTGAATCTTTTTATTTTACAATTTTCTTTATAATACTACACCTTTCCTCAGGGATTATTGCCATGATATTTAAATAGGGTTTTTTTGTAATAAGAGTTTTTAAAAATAGATTTTTCTTGGCAAGGGAGAGGAGTTCTCTTGGAACTGTTCTAGTCTTTGAGATAAACATTATATAAAGGAGTGTTTATGCCATGAACCCAGAGATTCACCTGAAGAACTGTCATGCCCTCTACAGAGCAGTTTCACATTCATGAGTTTCATTCCAGCCTCGAATATAGGCAGGCCCTCGAGAGGCCCCTGGTTCTTGAATGTTTTGCATCCTTTCTAATGCCTGTGTTACTCTCCATTTAAGGAGTCTCACAGTGACTTTTCAGTAAGGTTGAGATAGAATTCTCTCAGATACGAAAGGACCTCCAGCCTTCTTTTATATGCAATTCTGGATGGCAGTGTTTGGAAACATAGCCCGGATTCTACTGAAAGATGAATTGCTGACCTAATCTACTTTATAAAATTTATGATGTCCAAATAAGATTGCAAAAATTTAGGGGGAAAATTTTCCAATTAAATTTGAATTTCAGATAAACAAGCAATCTTTAGTAAGTATGTCCCAAATAATGTATTCAATCTGGCATCCCTATGCCCAAACTCAGTGTCAACTGCCCAGTGTTCATTTCACTAATGAGCTTTAGAAAATTCTCCATTATGTGTAATAGAGATTTGGAAAAACTGCATCTATTTTTTAAATCTCTATTAAAGGCATAACAAATCATTTCTTGACAAAAGAAATAAGTGCCAATTGAGGCATATGGCCGGTCTCATCCAATGTATGTGCCTTGCATGAAATTGGAATCTGGGCTTCCAATCATTTCTTAAGAGCTGATAATTAGGGGAAACCACAAATAAGCTCAAAACAAAAAAAGATGAAAGAGTAAGGAAATGATCTCAGCACCGAAAGAATGGTAAGGAGGTCAGAGATCTTGTGTTTTAGTCACTGTTATTTCCCCCCCACATCTAACGCTGTCTCTAATACACAATAAATGCTTGTACAATAATGTATAGATGAACAAATGAATGAATAATATGCTCGAAACCTCTTTTTTAGCCACAGCTGCAGTATATCTAAGGGCCTTTCAGATCTCATTGTTGCCTTAGGCTCTAAAATAAGAGACTAATTAGGCTTTAAAATGTGTGGCAGTATGAGTGACTGAGTTTTGATACAAAACAAATTTCTCTTTCCTAAATAGGACTCTGCTTCTTACCTGAGATAAAATAGGTAAAATAGACTGAAGTTTAAATATGAAGCTGTATAACTGTTCCCAGTATAGGCATTCGTGATGAAATAGTTTCAAAAACATTGACCACCACCAACACCCCCACCTGACATACAATTCCCTGTGAAGGAGGGATATTCCATGTGGAAATGTTAAAGTGTACAGCAGGATGCCAGGGACAAGCAACTCTTAATGGAAGGAATGGAACAAAGTGGAGCAAAGCTGGGATGTAACAGTACAGGATGATACTATGTTAGACTGGTCCATCTGATCAACGTAAGGAATTGAATTGTATTGTATTTGTTTGGAAATATATTACCTATTCATCCTTATTCAAAAATAGACAAGAAGTGACATAACCAAAATACATGTGCAAGTATAATTTAAAATATTAAGAAGGGACAACCTATTAGATATTTGAAGTTAACTGATCTGTTGCCTTGAGGTCTTTTTAAGGCTAAAATATACAGCTTCTTCAACTATTCTCTATACATCGTGGTGTCAATACACCTCTATTCTTTGTCAGTACCTGAACACACTTGCGCTTATAAATGACCCACTTATCATGTGAAACAAAAACCTGGCCACAGGACAATGGAAAACTGGAAGATCACCCTCCTCGTTCTAGGCTCCATACTGCTCAATGCCACCTACTTTGTGTGGCAAAAAGGTGACACCTACTGTGTCACCGTTTTATTAGGATGGTGCAAAAGTAATCATGGTTATCATCAGGAACTTTACAGGAAAAAGTAATGGCGAAAACCACAGTTACTTTTGCACCAATCTAATAGCAAAAACTCCAGCTGTGTAAAAGGTTTACTTTATGTTATTGTTGCTTATTATTGAAGGAGTATGAAAGTTAATGTGACAAGATAACATTTTAAAGTATTTTAATGTGTTTTTTTCTCTCACTTTTTTGAACATCAAATATATCCTTTTCAGCCAGAGGTTCATTGTCTTGAGGAGACGAAGGATTTTTAGAGCTGGAGTGCAAAGAGAAAGATATCAGTTCAAACTTTAACTTCCAATTTAGGATCTTAAAACTGTGAAAATCAAGAATTTTATTCTCAAAAACAAAGTTTTCTTGGGAGAAGAAAAGATTTATGGTAGGGTGCTTTTTCATTCTCAAAAACAAAGTTTTCTTGGGAGAAGAAAAGATTTATAGTATGGTGCTTTTTCATAAACTTCTGAGCAGGTAGAATGCAGGATATGAGTAAGAGTAGGAAATAAACACATTTCCTAGATAGGAGGAGAGTGTTGGGAGATGGGGAGAAGAGAACAAGAGAGTTGGGACTTGGCTGTGGTCCTTTCCTCACACATCCATATATCCCAGAGCCAAGTCTACCCCTTCTTCCCCCATCCTTAGCACAGTGTCTGGGAGTTGGGGGCCCCACATGACATCATGGTTTTAGAGGGTGGGTGCCTGGCTGTGCTTCTTCCAGATGCTCACTGGCCCTTGTGAAGGGGACTTGTCCTGTTGCTCTTTGGGTGTTGATCTCTGCCCAAACTGTGTGCACTATCAATGCTCATTGTGTGTGCCATGGTCTCCAGTTACAAGCTCACCCCTCTCAGAGAGCTCTCCAACCTGACTCGAGGCCTCTTACACTCTACTGGCCTTTCCAGCATCCCTGAGTACCCCCAGCAGAGCTCAAGAGAATATATCGATCTCCTCAGAAGCACATGCAGGTGAGGATTGCTGGAAGGGGTGATGCGATACTATCCTTGTGCTCTGTACCTGAACACGCTGCACCTGTTCATCTCCTCTACTGTGGTTGGCCCATGGAGCTCAAGACACCTACAAGGCCATGTTCCCCTAAGATTCCTGATGATCACTGGAGCAAATCTCCACACCCTTAGTTCTGGGGTTACAAACCTGTCTGGGGTTCTCTATCAATCACCCCAGCTTTTAATTAAACAATATTAATTACCTAACAAGTATGATATACATTTAAGTATGGCTTAAGTGTACAGTTGGATGGATTTTCACATCCACTTAGACCAGGAAATAGACTATCACTAGAAAGCCCCTCATGCCCCTCCCATTTATTAACACACGCTTCCCAAAGCACCACTATTCTGCCTTCTATTGCTGTAGATTAGTTTTGATTACTTTGAACTTTGTACAACATGTATTGTTTTGTGTCTGGTTTCTTTCACTTAATATTTCATTTATGTTGTTACCTGTAGCTATAGTTCATTTATTTTCATTGTTGAAGAGTATTCTATTGACTAAATGTACCACAATTTCTTTATTTTCCCTACAACTGATGATGGATATTTGAGTTGTTTACAGTTTGTTTGGTTCTTTTTGACTTCTTAATATAAAATGAGAGTTTACAGTTTTTGGCTATTACAAGTAATGCTGCTGTGAACATTCCTGGTGATGTTTTATGAAACCCATATATGCACATTTCTGTTAGGGTATCATAAAAGTGAAACCTAAAAGTGAAATTGCTACTCATCAGCTATATGTATGTCCAGCTTTGGTAGTTACTGACAAACTACCAAAACAGTTGTATTAGTTTGACCTTCAGAAGTTGCCATTTTTCCCATTGATTGAATATCAGTAATTTTAAATACCAGTAATTTTAAATGGCTTAACTCCCAAATTTACATTCTACCAGCAATGTTTGAGAGTTTCAGTTATGCCACATCCTCACCAACATGTGATACTATCAATGTTTTAGACTTAGCCATTCTAGTGAATGTCACATTGTCTCTTTGTAATTTTAATATCTGTTCTCCTGATAATTGATGAATAATCCTGAGCCCTTTTTCATGTTTATTGGCCCTTTGGATATCCTCTCTTCTGAAGTTTTGTTCAAAGTTTTTCACATTTTTTAAACTTGCATTGTCTATCTTTTTCTAATCGTACGTTTCTTTAATATTCTGGCACAAGTTCATTGTCAAATACATGTTTTACAAATATCCTCTCCCACTTATTGGTTTTCTTTTCACTCTCTTAATAGTGTATGTGATGACAGAAGTTTGTTTGTTTTTTTGTTTGTTTGTTTGTTTTTTGAGACAGAGTTTTACTCTTGTTGTCCAGCCTGGAGGGCAGTGGCATGATCTTGGTTCACCACAACCTCCGCCTCCCGGGTTCAAGCGATTTTCCTGCCTCAGCCTCCCGAGTAGCTGGGATTACAGGCCCCTGCCACCACACCTGGCTAATTTTGTATTTTTTAGTAGTGATGGGGTTTCTCCATGTTGATCACTCTGGTCTCAAACTCCCAACCTCAGATGACCCATCCGCCTCGGTCTCCCAAAGTGCTGGGATTACAGGCATGAGCCACCATGCCCAGCCTCGACAGAAGTTCTTAGTTTTAATATAGTCTAACTTCCTAATATTCTCCTTTCTGTTCAGTGCTTCTTCCACCCTAATGTTTAAGAGCCCTCAGTCTACCCCAAAGTCATCACTCTATTCTCGTGTGTTATCCTCTAGAAGCTTTATAATTTTAACTGTCACATTTATAGCTATAATCCGCTTGGAGTCGATTTTACATAAGGTGTGAAGTAGATGACAAGATTCATATTTTTTCCATATGGATACCCAGTTGACCCAGAATCATTTATTAAAAAGACCAATCTTTTCTCACTATATTGCAATGTCCCCTTTGTCATAAATAAGGTGACTGTACATGTATGAGTCTATCTCTGGCCTTTCTATTCTATCCCACTGGGTTGTCTGTCTCTCTCTGTACCAATACGATGCTCTTATAATTACCGTAGCTTTATCTGATAGTGTAAGTCCTCCAATTTTGTTCTTCAAGATTGTCTTAGGAATCTGGGCCCTCTGCGTCTCCATATAATTTTTGGAAGCAGCTTATTAATTTCCCTACACACAGACACAAATCTGCTAAAATTTTGATTAGGCTTATAATAATCTATAAATTAATTTGAGAGAAGTGATAATATGGAGTCTTCTAATCTGTGAATGTGGAATAGGCCTCCGTTTGTTTAGTTTCTCTTATGAAGCAGTAAATGCTTCAAGAGGAAAAGCAATGCAGAACGCTAGGCTCATCTCAGTGGATTTGCCTTCTTTCAATGATCTTGACCCTTCAGTCAGTAGTTTATTGATGCCTTCAAATAGGTATTTTTTCCCTAGTTTAGGGGTATTTCTTTTTGGAAAGGAATTGATCTGATACAAGTGGAGGTGAGTATAAGATGAAAAGTAGGAGTGGAGTAAGTTAGGACTCTGGTACTCAACAGAGGTGAGTTCAGATCCAAGTTTTGCTATTTACTATATCTGTGACCTTAGCAGGCCTCAATTTCCTTTAAAAACACCAGATTAAAGGCACAGAGGTGGCCGGGCACAGTGGCTGAAGCCTGTAATCCCAGCACTTTGGGAGGCCGAGGCGGGTGGATCACGAGGTCAGGAGTTTGAGACCAGCCTGGCCAACATAGTGAAACCCTGTCGCTACTAAAAAATAAAAAAAAAATTAGCTGGGCGTGGTGACGGGCACCTGTAATCCCAGTTATGCAGGAGGCTGAGGCAGGAGACTCGCTTGAACCTGGGAGTCGGAGGTTGCAGCGAGCCGAGATCTTGCCATTGCACTCCAGCCTGCGCAACGGTATGAGACTAAGACTCCGTTTCAAAAAATAAAATAAAATAAAAATAGAAAGCACAGAGGTGGCTAGGCACAGTGGCTCATGCCTGTAATCCTAGCACTTTGGGAGGCCAAGGCAGGTGAACTTCTTGAGGCCAGGAGTTCGAGACCAGCAAAACCCTGTCTCTACTAAAAATATAAAAATTAACCAGGTTTGGTGGTGTTCTGTAGTCCCAGCTACTAGGGAGGCTGAGGCATGAGAATCACTTGAACCCGGGAGGCAGAGGTTGCAGTGAGCCGAGATTGCATCACTGCACTCCAGCCTGGGTGACAGAGCAAGACTCTGTTTTTTAAAAAAATTTAAAGAAAAGCACAGAGGTGGAAGATATGGGGTGTATTCAGGAATAGCTGTTTGAACGAAGAATAATGGAAGAGAAGATGAGAAATGCAAGAAATCCACATAATAGTGACAATTGGTTGCGTGTTCACTGGGCACCAGGCAGAGTGCTATGAGACACTGGTGTCCTCGCTCCACAGATGAAGAATCTAAGAATTAACGAGTAACATCCCAGGTTTCAGGTAATACCAAAAAGTGGTGCAGGCGGGATTTCAATCCAGGCAGCCTGATTTAGGATATTTGCTTCTAGCCAGAGACTTCAGCAGTGGACTATGAAGTTTAAACTTTATTTTACATTCACTAGAGACCTATCAGATTTCTTTAAGGTTGGAATAATATATGAATTAGGAAGGTCACACTGGCCATGCTTGAAAGGTGAGTCAATCTCTCAACATAGTTTTTATATTTAGATTTCTATGTCCTTGTCCAGTATTGTTTAAACAAAATAATACAAAAAAATAATATTTCTGAAACTTCCACAATAGTAAGTTATGTATCTAAAGAGACCCAAATGTTATCTATTTTCTTGGTTTTATTTTTCTGTCTTGAATTCTGGGTTCATAATTTTTACCAAAAAAGACCCTACTGCTTCTTGAGAAATAGATATGTGTGACATATATCTTCTATATATATTTATGTTCCTTTCTGACCTATTTCCACATGTTTGAGATTGCTAATTAGCTATCTTATTTTCATGTTTATTATTATTACTTTTTAATTGTTAAAAAAAATCTCTCAGTAGCATAATCTTGTTAATACTTCTGTGTCTGCCTTCTGGCATGGGGGATTTTAGGTGCTACAGACTTTTTTTTTTTTTTTTTTGAGATAGAATCTTGCTCAGTTGCCCAGGCAGGAGTGCAATGGCGTGATCTCGGCTCACTGCAACCTCTGCCTCCCGGGTTCAAGAAATTCAACCATCTCAGCCTCCCAAGTAGCTGGGATTACAGGCACCCGCCATTGTGCCCGGCTAATTTTTGTATTTTTAGTAGAGATGGAGTATCACCATGTTGGCCAGGTTGGTCTTGAACTCCTGACCTCAGGTGATCTGCCCACCTCGGCCTCCCAAAGTGCTGGGATTACAGGCATGAGCCACCACGGCTGGCCCAGATATTTTTAATGAATTATTTTAATTTCTCTGGTTGCGAAAATAGTATGCATTTTTAGCTTATTTTATGTGAACATCATCTTTTGGTGATTAATTCTTAATCTATTATTAGCTTTTTCTCTTTCCTTGTTGTTATCCCATTTGTTCTTTTCATTAAAACTTCATTGTTGTCTGCCTTTTGGCAGAGACATTTTAGCTTTGCATATTCTAAGTAGGTAATATTATCTAATGTTATTTCTTACATACTTAAATACTGCATAAATTTATTACCTCTAAGCAATTGGACCAATATTGTTGTCTTCTTCTTCTTTTTTTTTTTTTTTTGATACCTATTGTCTTAAGCTTGATGTTGAAACCCTCTGTTAACTTATAATGATAGTTTCACTATTTGCTACTTAATTTGCTTGCTTCTCAGAGTATTTCCCTGGCTTGGGAATTTAATGGATTAGTTGCCTCCTGGGTCTATTATTAAAGTGATTTTTTTAATCCGTTGATGATGAGGATTTTCAACTTGATTTTATACACTCTACTATAATGATGATAACAACAATAATAGCAACAATAATAAATTTGAGTGTTTATTATGGTTCTGGCTCTGTACTAAACGCTCTGCAGACATCACCTCAATTAATCTTCCTAAAATAAGTATTATTAGTCCATTTACTATATGACAATACTAAGCCAGACACTAAGTGGCAGAGTGTGATTCAAACCCAGGTCTTTCCAACTCCGAAGCCTGTGTCTGCTATATTTCACATTAGCCTCATGTGACCCGGTGGCTTTTCAATAACACTGAAAATTAGGCTGAGCCCATCCTCTCTGCTTTTGACTTCATTTTTTGTGACTTTCTCTTTATTCAGTTTTGCCATATAAAACCCAACATTTGCTGGGCATGGTGGCTCATGCCTGTAATCCCAGAACTTTGGGAGGCTGAGGCAGGAGGATCACTTGAGCCCAGGAGTTCAAGACCACCCTAGGCAACATAGTGAGACCCCGTCTCCAAAAAAAAAAGAAAAAAGAAAAATAAAAAAAAATAAAACCCAACATTTCTTTCTAGCCAATAATATAAAAAAACTAGTAGGAATCTTATGGCAAGAATTAAAATGAAAATTCAGAGTTTCCAGTTATACTTGAGCTATATTTTAAAATCCACACAATGTATTGACTTCCTTGAGTTTAAAATTATTTCGAAATTTCTTAGCATACATACTTGGCTTGGCTTTGAATGCTTCTCTGTGCTGTTTGGCATGTAGGTGCCTGTAGATTTAGTTAACCATGGAGAGAGTTGCTGTTTGTCATTGTTTTGATGGAAGCTCTTATTCTGCCTTCTGGAAGCAAAGGAGAATGGGACAAGAACTTGATGTAACATGTGTCCCAACCCCTGGTCTTGCACCACACACACGCCCCCAAATAAAAAAGCGATGTTCTCAGAGGACCATCTGGAAATGGTGGCCCTGCTCACCTGGGGCCTCAGTCTCCTGGGAGAGGCCACCCACATCTGCATCCACATGTTGACTTTCCCTTTGCTCCTGTGCAGCCTGCTGCTAGCCAGAGCCTGTATTTCTGTAGAGAAAGCCTCTTCCTGGTCTTCTTGGTAAACAGAGAGGCTCCCCATGGCTGAGCATTGGACTATTAGTTTGGCTAAATTCCATCATCTTGGTTTAGGTCAGTTGTCCCACCCTGTCCAATGGTTTAGCCATGACTCTTTCTTTTGTTTCATCTTTCAAACTCTAAAACACACCTTTTTACCTCTTCACCTAGACTTTATTTACAATCATTAACAGGTCCAAAGATGGAGTTTGGAGTCATAGAAAAATTTTCCCTACAGGTTTACCCTGAGTAATGAACAGGTTATGGATTCAGTTGTGCTTTAGGAAAAGCATCCAGCTCTCAAAAAATTATCTAGATGACTTGCTGATGCCAAGATATAGAGATTTGGCAGCTCCTCTCTGCCAGTCCACAAAAACAAAAAGAAACAATATTTATTTGCTAAGGCTTAATAGAACCAGCTAACCCAGGAACCACAAGTGTGGATTCATATAGATCATCATGCCTGGTAACCGGTGCTAGAAGTTTTTCAGGATTGCTTGCGTGTCATTTAGAGAGGTGACATGGTATACTGGAGCCACCGGAGAGAGTTTTAATTGTATTTGACTATGTCTCCACATCAACATATGTGGGTTTAATTCCTAGATCCTCACCAACTGTCATAAAGTTTTTTTTATAAACCTAAGCTTCCTCTATTATAAAGTGTGGAAAATATGACTCACCTCCTAGGGTTCTTATGCACCAGATAGCTTACCCCACGGAAAGTTTACAGTGCCCAGTTTTCTGGAACTGACCCTTCATCACTTTCCATTTTTTAATTTCTTACTTCCTTTTTTATATTGTTAAAACTTCATGTTCTTTCACTTTTCAAATGTACATGATCTTTTATAGCGTGTAGTTTTTCAGGGAGATTTGACTCTCCAATGACTCAGAATCACTGAGCCCACCTCCCTGCACTTTTCTAGTACACTAAGGTGAAACGTAATTAGGCTGGGAGACTTGAATCCACTCCCCTCTCTTCCTTGGTCTCAGGTTTCCAATCCCTTCTAATTACATTTGCCTGATCCTTTCCAGTTGACATCTCCTTCTCAAAGGAGACTTTGGACACAGAATGGAAAGGAGTAGTTTTGTTGTCTCTCTTTTACCTAGAGTTGTGGACCATCTGACATTTATCCCAATCCCAGCAGCTATGGGGACATCACAGTAGGATTTCCCATGCAGCCTGCTAATCTCCTTCCCCAAGAAAGGTGGCGCATGCCCTAGTCAACCTTAGTCTTGGCTGTTAGGCCACTGGGTTTACAGGAATGGAGGCCTCTAAAGGAACAGGTGCACTCAAACTCTCCACCCATCTACAGCCATCTCCTTGCTTTGCTCCAAGAGAAGTGGATTCCGAGCTGCAAGCTCAGATTCCAGGGCCCTGACTGGGCTATGTGTACCTGTGGGAAAGGCCCTGAGTAATTCACAATCATGCCTATTGGCGTGTGGCTCACCCCCTCTATTTGTTCTTTTTCATGAACTTGGTGATGAGAGCACCAGAGTCTTCTTCATGGGAGGAGATATGATCCTGCAGTTCACTCTCTCTTTCTGATGAGTGTTATTTGGCCTCTGCCATGGTCTGAATGTTTCTGTGATCTGAATTCATGTGTTGAAATCCTAACTCCCAAGGCGATGGTATTAGGAAGGGGCCTCTGAAAGGTGATTAGGTCATGGGGGTAGGGTCCTCATGAATGAGATTGGTGTCTTATAAAAGAGGTCCCGGAAAGACCCTCACTCCTTCCACCACATAAAGACACAGTAAGAAGGCACAATCTATGAACCAGGAAACAGGTCATCACTAGACATGAAATCTACTGGCACCTTGTGCCTTTTAGCCTCCAGAACTGTGAGATATAAATTTCTATTGTTGATAAACCACCCAGTTTATAGTTTTTGGTTATAGCAGCCTGAACAGGCTAAGACAGCCTCTGACCTCCTGAGGCTGATGCAGACTGGTCATATGACTTGAGTTTAGCCCTCACCATTGAGAGAAGCCCCCCTTAAGCTTTGGGCCTCGGTCACACTCTCAGCCAAGTTTACCAGAGCTTTACTTTACAGTTTGGGCACAAGCTCAGCAAGAATATGCTGCTTTGGTATGCCATAGTCCCTCAGGTATACCTCTTTGGGGACCTCTTAAGATGGAGTGGTGAGCAATATTCAGCCATTTCTGGGTCTTCTGGACATGAGACATGCCAGCACCCCTTCTGGCACTTAGCTGAAGACAGCCTTTGTGGTTTTTTTCTGTTCGTTTTAGCAAATCTCAGATTCAGTAGGGTTGTATCCTCTATGGCATGACCTTCTAAATCTCTGCTGTTGTCTTATTTTTGGCTGTTTCAGAGTTTCTGCTTCCATCTGTGTTCAAAAGCCTTGTAAAATATGTGTTTGTCAAGAAAGACCTCAGGGCCACTATACTAATATTAGAGGCTACTACTATTAGAAGAGTTCAAGCAGAAAGAATCACCATCCACCATTAACCTTTAACCTTCTTGGTTTCTCTTCCCTCTGCGTGTATCTCTCAATATGTCTATGTATCCCTGTGTCTGTCACTCTCTCCCATCCAACAATTCTGCTTGGACCATTTTTACCACCATTGCTTCTGGTCCTCCTAGCTCTTCCAGCTGAAAAGCAATTCTCTTTCCCTGTAATTCATATAAGACATCAGCCTTCTCACAACTCCTTCAACTCAACAAGCTCCTTCCTGCCTCAGGAACTTTGCACATGCTGCTCCTCATCTGGAACCTCTCTGCCCTCTGCCTCCATCCGCAACATCATTTCCCCAGTGCAGCCTGACTCTTCCTCTAGCTTCTCTCTCCTTGCATCCTTCAGGTCTCAGTTTGCATATCATTTCCTTAAAAGGGCTTTTCTGACCAGACCTCCCCTCCCCTAGTCCAAGCTATATCCCCCAAGCCCTTCTCAATCATATCACTTCTTTTCCTTTGTACCATCAATCACATTTCTAATTATAAGCATATATATGTCTGTTGGTTTCATACCTTCCTCTCCCACTTAGACTCTAAGCTCCATTAAGGGAGGCGCTTACTTGCCATTGCAACCCCATACCCAGCCCAGGGCATATAAAGCTTGCAATACATATTTAATTGAATGGATAAATTAACGATCAAATGCTGAACATTTTAGGGTCATTTTCCCTAGAAAAAAAGAAAAGTAATAATAAATTGTAAAATGCAGCACCTGAAGAATTTCAAGGATTTGAAACATGTATATTTACTAACATTTGAGCCCAATTAGCTTGACTGTGTTGTCACATAGGGGAAACTAGCACTAGGATGCCAACCATC
Source organism: Homo sapiens (assembly GCF_000001405.40). Lineage (NCBI taxonomy): Eukaryota > Metazoa > Chordata > Mammalia > Primates > Hominidae > Homo > Homo sapiens. The sequence goes on along the minus strand of NC_000009.12, from coordinate 99,324,234 downwards.
TCAGTTTGGGACTGTCACAGTTTTAGCACTGAAAGTCCTGCATCCCTGGAAACCCACAATCCCAGGCAAACCAGGATGGCTGGTCATCTTATACAACACAGCCCTTGTCTTAAGCCCACCTGGGATAAGAGGATAAGAAAACTTTCTGACCTCTGAAGGTGTTCTTGCAGCACCAAGACTGATTAATTTTTGTGGATCTTGAGGCTGTGTAAAAGTCTTGTCTTCCCTTTCCAGGCAAAGGTGTGTTTTGGCTTGAAACCAAAACTGGGGTTGGGCTCTTATTTTTGGAATAACTCAGGAACCATTCACTGCATTTTTTTCTTAGAGTGGCCGTCGCTAAATATGGTACTATTTTTATTATATTGAGACATACAGGATAGAATTTTTCTTTTTCCATATGTTAAGGTATTTTATTTACACAGGGACTTCAAGAATTTTTGGCCACTAATTATCCTGGTGCAACTTTATTTGGGTTTCTCTTTGCAGGTGCTCCTGGGCTGTTTCTGTGATAGTTATTCAGGAAACTTATTGTAAGAATTTTCCTTTGTTTTCTTCCTCTTTTCCTCCTATTTTCCTTTTTGCTTCCTTCAAATTTACCTATAGCTTGGAGAACATCTCTCCTCTGCCAGTCCTCAAGACTGTCTCTTGTTTCAAAGCCCAACTTATAGAATTTCTTGGCTTTGCTTGTCCTTACCCTCTCATCTGCAAGACTATTTTCTATTGCTTCCTGTTGGCTGGTAATGATTTCCAGTTTGCCAATTATTGTTTCTAATGTCCTTTTTATAATTCCTTGAAGCTTATGATTATAAAAAGGGGTTGTGTCAAAATCTCCCTATTTCTGAATTTATGAGAAATGCTTTGTGAACCATGTCTTTTCTCTATTTTTCTTGTCTGCTTTAATTTTATTCCATTTTATAATGGTAATTACTAATAATACCACTCAAAGGTGTCTTCTTTCATTTTGTCACCCTTTTTTCTCTTTCTCAAATTAATGTATTAGCTGGTCTACTATATTCTTTCTTTAGAGGTTTGCCTGCGTTGTAACCCAGCAGTCCTCATGACCCCTCCCCTGCCTTGAATTTTTATTGAGTTCTATTCTTACGGGGGGAAAACTCCATAAATTTGAATGCAAAGGCTTGCAATTCATTCTAACCATATCTTTTCATTTTTGCCATTTAGAGTTGGGTATTGAGGCAGAGTCCACAGCAATACTATTCTCTGTGTGGCATCTTCTCTGAATTTTACACCGAGGCATTTAGGAGCATCCTTATCCTGACCTGAACTCAGAGCAATAAAGTGATGTGATGTGTTATAATGTCTGGTCAGGACTTGGGAGAAAAAAAATCCCTGGGTACTTATCTGAATTAGGAGCTGTGTGAGATAAGGTATCCAGCACTTGGCTACCACAAGGACTGTTTCCAGCTCATGAATAATCAAGCCAATATGAAAATCTTAATAATCAAAATAACCTGCAGACACAAACTCAGAGGTTTGGTGATATCTCATGATTTTTCCTTGAAACATGCCAAACACTATTTTTATTGATTTCAAGAAACAGATACACATCCAGGAAGCCTTCAGTAGTGGGAAACTTATTTAAGGGTGCAATAGCAGCTCTGAACCAATACTTGCCTAGCTCTTCCTCTCTCTCACTCTCTCTCCCACCTCCACCCCACCCTCTCTCCCAGAGTTTCTGCTATGTCTTGATCTCTCCCGTTCAACTGCCCTAAGCAAAGTCTGATAGGGCCAGATGATTGGCACCAGGGAGGAGTTTCTCTATTAGTCAGCCTTTAGCTCCAGCTGGTCAAATCAAGACAGCAGAATTTGTCCTACTGAAAGCATAAGGCTTTATATGTCATAAAAAAAAAATACTAAGAGGCTACTTTTCTTGGAAAAGAGCTGCATAACTGGCACCTTCAAGGCTGTGTAAGGAAAAAATCAGAAAATGAACAGCTGATAAAGCAAACAAACTAGAAGTTCAAACTTAGAAAAGGGGGGAAGTGGCTTTCTGAATTTTTCCTCCAACATTTATTGCTGTCATATGCCTCCATGCATTTTGCTTTGATGTATGAGGTTGAACTAAAAAATAAATATTTGATCATTTCCCCTTACAAAAATGGCTATTTCACCAGTTTAGATCTGCTATCTCTGACTTGAAATACTATTGGTTTCCTCTGCCTGCTTTTTGTATCCAATTCCTACCTGTCTTTTCATGCCCAATTCAAATGCTAATCCACAATGATACCTCCCTCGAGTTGCCCAGAAGGAACCATGCTTCTCTCCCAAGTCTCTGCAAATCATCTATTAATTTATTGTGAGCCTAAGCACTGTCTCCATGGTGTTGTACGCATTCTCTTCCAGAGCTGATCTCAATATCTAACCATGAACTTCATCTTTGTACCCATCTCTCCAATTCCCCAGCATCTCCTAGCACTACATCTGGCACAGAGGAAGAGCTGGGAGTAGGCAGAATGATGATTAATATGTTACTTTACATGGCAAAAGGGAATTAAAATTTCAGATGCAATTAAGGTGGTTAATCAACTGACCTCAAAATAAGCGAGATTAACCCAGTGGGCCCAATCTAATCATATGAGTCCTTAAAAGTGGAAGAAGAGGCAGAAGAGAGGGGCAAAGTGATGCAATGTGGAGAAGGACTCAACCCACCATTACTGGCTTTGAAGATGGAGGAAGAGGCCATGAGCCAAGAAATGCAGGTGACCACTAGAAACTGGAAAAGAGGGGAAAATGGATTCTCCTCTAAAGCCTGCAGAAAGAATACAGCCCTGTCAACACTTTGATCTTAACCCAGTGAGACCTGTGTCTGACTTCTAACTTACAGAACCATCAGATAATATATTTGTGTTGTTTTAAGCCACCCTGTTTGTGGAAATTGTTACAGCAGCAATGGAAAGCAACACAAAGTTCAATAAATATTTGTTTAATTAATCTGTTGTAGTGATTTTTAATCATTTTATTTCTAAAAGAGGTATTATATCAACTCAAATCTCACAGAGAGTCGTATTTAGAAACATTTTCTTTATGGAGATAAGAAGAAATATAAATTTTCTTTCTTTTCATTCATATATACATTCAAACAATTTTTTTAAAGCTTAAAGAAGGAGAGAAGTTCATTCACAACCTCACTGAGATCTAACTACTTTCATTTTTTCTTCTTTTCCATCCCTGATTGTAGGTGCAAATAATTTTACTATTAAAGTCATAGCAGAAATATAGTTGAATATTCTTTAATATTTAATATTGCATGATAAATATTTTCTATAGTTCTATTGTTTTCATAATTGCCATTGTAATCATTGCTTTATATTATTCCATTAAGTCGGGACACAAAAATTTACTTCTGTTCCTATTCCATGAATCAGTTGAGTTGTTTCAAGCATTTTTCCTTATACTTTAAGAAAATATTAGACCGGGCACCGTGGCTCATACCTGTAATCCCAGCACTTTGGGAATGCATTGCTTGAGGTCAGGAGTTCAAGACCAGCCTGGCCAACATGGTGAAACCCTGTCTCTACTAAAACTACAAAAATGAGCCAGGTGTGGAGGCACACACTGGTAATCCCAGCTACTCAGGAGGCTAAGGCATGAGAATCCCTTGAACCCAGGAGGCAGAGGTTGTAATCAGCTGAGATCGCACCACTGCACTCCAGCCTGGGTGACAGAGTGAGACTCCATCTCAAATTAATTTTTTCTTCATTTAAACTTTTCTGTTGAATTACCTGCAAAGCAGATTTCCATAATTGGAATAACTAAAAGAAAGAATCAGAGTGGCAGCTCTGGCTCTTGAAGCTCACTAAGGTAATTCCAAGAAGACTGGAGAGGAGTTTTCTAGTTTCACAATTATTTTTGTCAGGATTTGGGGTCTAGAATAGTTGCTTATATTGCATTGCATTGATTATGATTATGAAATGTATAAATGCATTTATACATTTGTTATTTTATTAGTTATATATTTTTAGAAAAATATGCTTATAGCTTTTGCTCATTTACCTATTAGAGACTTGATTATTTTCTTATAAATAACTTTTTAAATACTCTTTAAAAAATGTAAATCTCAACTTTCTGTCAAATTTATATACATGTTTTGTGATCTAGTTTGCTTTTCAATTTTAGCTACACAGGTTTGCATTTGTAGTTTATTTGCTTGTGTCATTTTTTTAGGAAAAATAAAATCAAAATATCAAAAACAAAATGAAAATTTATGTTATCTGAACTCTGTAGTGGATTAGGCAATTCAGAATAAATCTAAAAGTTTGAAATTGAATATTATATGAATAATCTGTATGGTAGCTTTCAATTTTAGTCTGATAGCGCATTATATAATTTATAACACAAATATAAATTTATTATTTGTTACAGAACATGTAGCTCATTTAATTTTTGTATCTCTTGACAAAGCTATAATTTGAAAACAAGCAAAGTCTATTTTAAAATTAAATTAATTCAGGGCAAACTAACCTCTACTTTTTTTTCTTAACATGTTTTTCTAATTCCAAAAGTAGTATGTGTTTATTTTACAAAAATTAAAAATGACAGAAAAGAATTTAAACATAAATAAATTTCAACCCTGTGCTCATCATACAGAAATACCTCCTGTTAACACTGAGGTGTATTCTTTCAATCTTTTTGCAAACTGTGTGTGTATAAAAATATTAATTAAATTTTGATTAGGCTATTTTGCATCATTTTTTTTACCTAATATTTTCGATGAGAGTTCTTCCATTTTATTAAATACGTTTGAACCAATTGGATAATGAACTCTTAAAGGAAGTTTTCTCATTCCTTAGCAGAAGAGTGAGTCCATTTTTTTTGCCCTGGATTCTGAGATCAAGTTCATTGAGACTCCCAGGAATAGCCAACCACAGAAAGAGATGCCTGTTGTGGAGAACCAAAGCTTTCCCTGCGGCAGCTCTATGTCACACACCCCACCAACTCTGTCCACCTCCCAGAAGTCCATGCACATTGTGTTCTGAGGTGCTACTTATTTTTAGGTAATGTTTTGCTCCTGCTTCTGCAGCTGTTTTTAATCACAAGCCTTGGGCACTGCATCCTAAAGAAACTCTGGCAGAGACAAAGGTGAAAAGAAGGAGGGAGAAGGACATGTCCAAACATCTTGGACATGATATTGACAGAAAGGGAACTTATCCCCATAGAATTTCACATTTATTACTGTGCCGTGACAGAAGTAGTAGAGGCTGCAATACCAGACAAGCCTTGGTTGGAGTCCGCATCTCCCTCTTAATTGCCAGTTGAGTGACCTTGGAGAAGCCACTTAACTGAATTCCAATCTTCTCCATATAACAGTAAATATGCCAAGTTGTAAGGGTTCAATGACTATGTAAAACTGCCTTTTAAACTATAATAACCATTCCTGTACCTTTAGTAGAGAGGAAGAGGGAGCTTCTGAGGCATCCTTCGTATGTTCCTGTTATTTATTAGTTATAGATTTACCAGTTTACCAACAACAAAATAAACAAGGTAATGCTAGCAGCTGTAACAAATTCCCAAACTCCAGTGGTTCAATACAATAAAAGTTTTTTCATTCAGGTGAACATCCAACACAGATATTGACAGTTGGTGGGCCACCTTCTGGGAACCCAAACTCTTTCCATCTTGTGGTTCTGTTCTTGTCTCCTAGGGCTTCAGGGTCCTCTTCATTCTGTCAGCAGACGAGGAAAATGAAAGAAGAAAGAAGACACACACTTATTTCTTAACCACCACAGCTAGAAAGTGACATTCATCAATTCCATTCACATTCCCCTGGAGAGAATCCATTTCATGGTACACCTTACTTCAGAAGAAGCTGGGAAACACAGCTCTAAGTTTGGTGAGCAGCTAGCCAGCCTGCCACATATACAAATATAATTAATAGAAGAAAACACAGCTAAGTCTTCTCTTAATGTCGTCTATAGGTTCTTGGAAACTGTGACTTTAAGCAAAATGACATACTGTATGCTGTAGCAATTTAACTCTTGTTTATATCAATTAGTCTATGGTAAAATTGGTTCTATCACACTGTACATCATTTTGCTTAAAGTTGAAGTTTCCAAGAACCTATCAATGACATTAACTGAGGATTTACTGCATATGCCAAGAATAGATGCTAAGATTGAGCATTATCCATAGTTTGGGCTAAAAGTGAATCCAGTGTTTCTCTTTGTGACCTTTCCAGCATATTCTGGTAGCCTTATTTACAGGGGTCTTCAGAAGACTACATTTGTTGATGCGCTTCTTCGTTGATTATTCATTCATTTGTAAAATAATTTGTCAAGCACATTCTCTGAGCAAATAACTTATACCCAAGAAAATTGACAGATTGGGTGCTGAGATCTCTCCCTTTGCTGTGGGGAGGATGTCGAGACCCCTTGCTTCCTCTCTCAGACATGCTGCAAGCGGCCGAGAAGAAAGCCGCTGTACTCGTATGCCTCTGCTCCATTCTAACACAGGACACAGATTCTGAAGTCTAGCTGCTGGCTCAGCTCTAGCCTCTGACTCTGATTAGCTGTGTGGCCTTGGGCAAGTTTTCTATCCTCTCTGGACCTCTGCTTTCTCATCTGTACGATGAGAATGAATGAGGGCGAGTTTGTAAAGCTCTTTGGCACAGTGACTGGCACACAGCGAGGGTCCTATGCATTAACTCTACGACCACGATCACTGCCTCCTGCAATCCACCCACACTGCACGCAGATCTCTAACAACCCCCACTTGAATGTGCAGGTTGGAGAATTGGACGAAGAATTTGTTATTCAAGTAAATAACTTTTCCCGAATCCACTAACTGTGAAATCTGCCAGTGAAGATGTGCGAAGTGTGATTATTTTGATGACGGAAAATTGGAAAGAGAATGCTCTAAATCATGGTTTGCCAATTCGTTTCATAGAAAAATATAATATTAATAGATATTTATTAAATGATCATTAAGCCCACTCTTGTGCAAAGTGCTAAACTGAATTTTTTACATGTTCGCTTTCACTTAATTCCCACAGTAACCCTGTGAAATGGCCATTATTCCCTATTTTACAGAGGTGAGTAGCGATAACAACCAATATGAGGATCAAAGGGGCTTAAAATTTGCCCAAAGTCACACAGCTGGTCAATAGTCAAGTCAGGATTTGAGCCCAGGGCTGTCCAGCTCCAGGTTTTGCCCTGCTCACTGGGTGCGCTGCCTCCTGGGTTCCTTTAGTGAGGCTCTCTCTTGGGTATGGCAGAAAAGAGTCACAGTGTTCACATAACACTCTATCATTTTCAAATGCCGTGTTTATGTTAAATCCTTACAGCACCCTGTGGAATAAGGGAGCCGGAATTGCTGACCACATTTGAGAATGAGGAGAAACTGAGACACAGGGAGGCCCATCAGGTGTTTCGTGAGGGAGTGGTCAATAACAGTAACAGCAACATTTACTGAATGCTAACTACATGCCTTGCATAGCAATAAGTACTTTATATACATTTCACATTTAGTGACCTTAAAATCTCCATGAGACAGGTGCCTTATTATCTTCATTTTACATATACAGAGACTGCCACTTATATATTGGAATCCTATGCCAATCAGCTAGCATACAATGAAGGAGACCAAAAAAAAAAAAAAAAAATTCAAACCTAAAGCAACTGAGAAATTTTGTCTCCCATGCATCTTATCTGGGCGGGGGGGCAGCATTTATTAATACATATTTCCTGAGCATCTACTTTGTGATCTACATGCAGCAGTGCCCAGGCAGACAATTCCCCTGAGCATGGAGTGACAACTTATTGGGAAAAAACAGATAATAACAAGGAAACAAATTGGTCAATAACACACTTTCTGATAGAAATAGTACCACAGAGGACATAAAGCAGGCCAAAGGAGCAGAGAATGACAGCAGGTGACTAGTTTAGATAAGGTGGCGATAAATTCAGGTGCCTGCATATTAATAAGCATCCAGCCACACAAACACCTCAGGGAAGGAAGTCCAGGCAAAGGATATAGTAAACGTATTGGCTTTGAAGTGTGACAAAGCCTGACATGTTTGGAGAAGAGTAAGATGCCTAAGGTGGCCATAGATTATAGTTAACAATGAAATGACATTAGAGATGAGAACAAGGAGAATAAGAATCATCAGGGAGTGGTGGCCAATTGTCACTTGCAAACATAGAGGCAAACATCCTAAATTATAAATATTAGCAAATAAAATCCAAGAGTATATTAAAGAATACATTTTTTTTCCAAGGAGAGCTTAGCCCAGGGACGAAAGACATTTCAACATTAGAGAAATTCATCCTACAATTCAGCACAGAGATTAAGGAACATTAATTACCTCAATAAATACAAAAAGCATTCAATAAAGTTCAACATTAAGAATTAATTTCTTAGAATCTCAGTAAGTCAGAAATAGAATGCAAGTTCCTCAACATAAAAAATGGCTGTCTATCAGAAACCCTCAGTAGTTAAATATTTAATGGGGATTTCTTAGAAGCATTCCCACTAAAGATAAGTGCAAGACAGAATTGATTGCTGTCATGGGTACTAGTCATTAGTGTTCTGGGGGATCAAAAGATAAGAAAATTAGAGATATAAAGATTGGAAAGAAAAAAACAAACTTTTACTCAGTGCAGATGATTGCCCACTTAAAAAAAATTCAAGCCAGGCGCAGTGGCTCACGCCTGTAATCCCAGCACTTTTGGAGGGCAAGGCGGGTGGATCATGAGGTCGGGAGATCAAGGCCATCCTTGCTAACATGGTGAAACCCCGTCTCTACTAAAAATACAGAAAATTAGCCGGGTGTGGTGGTGGGCGCCTGTAGTCCCAGCTACTCGGGAGGCTGAGGCAGAATGGTGTGAACCCGGGAGGCGGAGCTTGCAGTGAGCCGAGATCGCGCCACTGCACTCCAGCCTGGGCGACAGAGCAAGACTCAGTCTCAAAAAAAAAAAAAAAAAAAAAAAAAAAATCAAGAGACACAACTGAAAGCTATTAGAATAAAAAAGTTCAAAAAACTGTGGATAAGCCCATCAATATAATTCATTCAATAGGCTTCCTATATACCCGTACTAATTAATCTAATAATAATTCTAAGGGATTCCATTTACAACAAAAAATCTGGAAAATAAACATAATTTTTAAAACATACAAGATCTATTTAAAGATAACTAAAAAATGTACTTAATGATGTGAACCTAAATACATGAAGTAATAAACTATATTCCTGGTTGGGAATTTCAAGACTTAATATTGAAAATATACTGATTTTTCCCACATATATCCATCAATGCAATTTTGATCTAAATTCAATAGCATTTTTAATTCGGGTCTTATCCTACCAGATCCTACCAGGTGTCAAAACACATTGTATGCTGTAGTAATTAAAATGGTCTATTATTCATACAGACATTGATAAGCTGATCAATGGAACAGAATTAAAAACCTAGAAACCAACTCAAGTATATATGAAAATTAAGTATACAATAAAGATGGTAGTTGAAATTAATGGAGAAACAATAGACTAATTCACAAGTGGAAGTGAACCGATTAGCGATTCATTTGGGAAGAAATTGTCTTAGATTCCTAATTCACACCATCCATCCCCAGGAAACAACTTTTAGATGAATTAAAGAGCGAAATCATAAAAATATTAGATGAAAACATTGGTGAAGAAAACTGGTAAATATTTTTTTAACTTAGGGTGGCGAGGTCTTCCTAAGCAAGAGACAAAACCCGGGAACTGTAAAATAAATGTTTCCCAGCCAGACGCAGTTGTTCATGCCTGTAATCCCAGCACTTTGGGAGGCCAAGGTGGGAGGATCACTTGAGGTCAGGAGTTCGAGATGAGCTTGCCCAACAAGGTGAAACCCCGACTCCATTAAAAACACAGAAATCAGCTGGGCATGGTGGTGCGCGTCTGTAGTCCCAGCTACTTGGGAGGCTGAGGCAGGAGAATTGCTTGCACCTGGGAGGCGGAGGTTGCAGTGAGTTGAGATGGTGCCACTGTACTCTAGCCTGGGCGACAAAGCAAGACTCTATCAAAAAGAAAGAAGAAAGAAAGAGAGAAAGAGAGAGAGGAGGGAGGAAGGGAGGGAGGGAGGGAGAAAGAAGGAAGGAAGGAAGTAAAGAAGGGAGGAAGAAAGAGAGAGAGAAAGAGAGAAAGGAAATAAAGAAAGAAAAGAAAGAAAGAAAGAAAGAAAGAAAGAAAGAAAGAAAAGAAAGAAAGAAAGAAAGAAAAGAAAGAAAGAAAGAAAGAAAGGAAAGAAAGAAAGAAAGAAAGAAAGAAAGAAAGAAAGAAAGAAAGAAAAGAAAGAACGAAAGAAAGATTGGTTTCCCAAATTTAACCTCATAAAAATTGTAAAATTCTTTAAGTTAAAATACACCATAAGGCAGGTTTAAAAGTCTGGGAAACAATACTTGCAACATACTTAACAGGTAAATGATTAATATATGGAGCATATGAAGAGTTTCTAGGCTGGGCGCAGTGGCTCACGCCTGTAATCCCAGCACTTTGGGAGGCCAAGACGGGTGGATCACGAGGTCAGGAGTTCAAGACCAGCCTGGCCAAGATGGTGAAACCCCGTTTCTACTAAAAAACTACAAAAATTAGCCAGGAGCGGTGGCAGGTGCCTGTAATCCCAGCTATTCGGGAAGTTGAGGTGGGAGAATCGCTGCAAACCAGGCAGCGAAGGTTGCAGTGAGCCGAGATCGCGCCACTGCACTTCAGCCTGGGAGACAGAGAGAGGCTCCGTCTCAAAAGAAAAAAATAAAATAAAATAATAAAAAAAAGAGTTTCTAACAGGAAAAAGACAAATCCTCAGAAAAATTTGAAAAGGAAATAAACAGGCAATACACAGAAAATATACACTCAATGAGCATGCAAAGCTGCATATCACAGCTGGTGAGAGAAAAGAGAATTATTTGGTAAAAAGTAAAAAGATAGATGTCAAGTGTTGGTGAAAATGTGAAGAAAGAGACATTCTCCAGGCCCATTCTGTGTGTAAACTCATGAAGTTAACCGATGAAGTCCACTTGAAAACGCCCATCAAATTTTAAAATGCACATATCAATTGACCTGACCCTTCTACTTCTAGGACTTTTTCCAAAAGAAATACTTGTTTGTGTGCCCCACACAACATCTTGTACATGTATAAAAGAATTTCATCACAGTATTGTGTGTAGTAGTAAAAAAATTAAAATCTTCTAGCTTACTGTCAATAAGGAAGGCAATAGTTAATTATGGTATATTGATTCCATCCCAGGCACCTCTGATTCATCATTCTTGCAAAAGACTTCAAGATTCTCTCCTATCATTTATGACATTGGCGTGCACACTTCCTCGTTATAGACAAGTCAATGATATAAAACAAACAAGGCCTGAGGTGTCTGGGCAGGCTTTCTGAAGGCATGTCTTCCTTACATACTTTGCCTGGCTTACCACCCCTCCACTGACCACCCCCCTACCCCCAACCCTCCTGTAGCCTAGATGGAAAAAGAATTTAACTTGTAATACAACCTCAATACATGGGAGTCTATTCATCATTCCCTAAATAATTACAAGCCTATAGGAATCAATACTTAAGACCCCAAAATAAAATTCAGAATTGCAATATCACTATTTCCAGTATTATTAAAATAACTAGCATACACAATCTTTTGAAGTTATCAAGTACTTCCAATCTAGTATTTAAATGATTTTTACAACATCCCTGTGAGTTGTACAAGACAAATTGTTATCCCATTTCATAAGTAAGGAAACTAAGGTCCAGAAAAGGAATGTGATTGACCCAAATCCCATAGCTAATAATAGGCAGAGCCAAGATTGAGTGTTGGCTTTCTGACTGTGAAACATCTGCTCTTTATACATAAATCCAGCTCATGCCAATATAATTAGTAATATCCCATTTATCCAGATTCTAACCTGGTAAATTTGATGCTCAGGAACATTTACCCTCACCCAGAAATGCCCCTAATGCCCCTGCAGCAGCCCCCAGACCAACTCTCTCAAAGTGTCCCCATGGAGCCAATTCATTTTTTCAGGAGGCCCTGACTCAAAGGCTTTTGCCTCTAGTCCAGGAAATTGTTCCTAATCAGACTCATGGGTTCCCCTGCCCCTGAAAGATCAGAAATAGAGAATTTGAGTGGGTGGGAGTGGGGGCAGGAGGAACCTTTAAGAAGCAAGCTGTGCTATTCTCACTGTTTTTACTCAAACATGAATCTTTGTTCTCCGATGCAAATTTTGAGAAGTTGGTGCCAATCTGCTCTGAACAAAAGAATTCTGGTCTGAACAAACAAAATTTGGGATGGGAAGTCTGGCTTTCCTAGTTGCGCTTTTGACCATCTGCCTCTACCCACCACCCACCACACTGGATCTCTCCCAAAGGTGGCAGTGAGCTTTGAGGAAAACTTCCCAGCTTGCTTACCAGTAATGGAAGTCAAAGAGGTCCAAGGGTATCAAATGTCAAGGTTGCTAAAATAACATCCTTACAATGCTTAGGAGGTTGAACCAGTTGACTCTAAGAGCCTTCCCTCCACACCTCAAAGACCTTAGTTAGGGTCCCATGAAAGAGGGAGGCCTTGATTTCAATGGACATTTATCAAAGGCCTAATCCTCTACTTCCTCTAAATAAAATTTTCTGTTGGCTTTGTGCATATAATATTGTATTAATGGTATTATTTTAAATATATTTTTTATTAAGCAAATAATTGTTTAACAAAAGTGTACTTTTCCTTGTTCTCATCTCTCAGCTATATACCAAAAAACTGTAAATGGATTAATTTTTTTTCCACAATACTACATTGAATGTTATAAGCATTAGTTCCAATTGACATAGATTTTTAAAGTAATTTTAGTAGCTGCATATTTCATTCCATAGTTATACCTCAGTTTATTTAACAGGCTATTATTGGATATTGAATTTTTTCATAATTTTATCAAAATTATAAATAATGCCTCTATGAGGATCTTTTTGAATAGGTCTTTATTTTCTATTGAATGATTTACTTACCCTAAAATTCTAGGGGGAAAAGTATTGGATTGCAGGATATATGAGTATCTTTGTAGTTCTTCCTAGTTTGGGCAAACATTTAAAATGAAAATCAGTCCACCAACCTCAGTATTGGACATTGACTTCAATTTTGCTGCTGTTAATCACTATATTTGTAAGGTTTTTTCACAGTTTAATATTTTCTTCCTCTATCCTTTGTTTAGTTGTATCTACCTTAAAACAGCTTCACTTATCTTTCTCACAATCATAAGGACAGGGGCATTTTAAAATGCGCTTGTGTGTGTGTGTATCTCATATTTATGTTCAGTTGAAAAAAATATGACCCAGCAACTCATATGGTAAATATGAAATAAAGAAGTCAGCCAACCTGTATATCTGCCACTTTCAATAATGGATTTTTCTCTGGAGTCAAAGGAATGAACCTTTGTATCTAAATGCCTCCTTCACTGATTCCATATGCCCATATGCCTGAAGGGAGTCAGCATGGTTATTAGAAAAAAAAAAATCCAACCCCATCTCAGCCCCATTGAATCAAAATATCGAGGAGGGACATGAGCATCTGTTTGTGTAAATTGGAGTTGGGCTGGATTCTAAGTAAGCATCCTAGGTGATATTTGTCAGCAGGGACGTTTGGAAACACCTGGTTGAAACCTTGGGACATTGGGTGAAGATCACAGGGAGTCAGATTTCTAGTTACCTGAGAGAATTCCAAACAGTCAGACCTACCTACTGGTAGGGGAGGCAACTTATTACTGGGAGGCAACTTATTCCTGTCAATGAAGTATTTGTTTGGAGACCAGATTATCACAACCATCCCTCAGGAAGACTCCTTTTGAATTTGGGAGCATTCTCTGACCATGGCACCAAAACTCTACAGAGCATCTCCTATAAGCAGGCAGAACTAGAGGCCTTTAAGTGTCTTTTCCACCCTAGCACTGCTTGATTTCAAATAATAAAAAAAATAGTTCACTAATGTAGCTTCAGTATTTTCCTATTTATCTCTCCATCTCTCCAAGAAGATATAATGTAATCTTTTGATCTGTAATAGAACTGGAAAGTAAAACTATCTTTGACTCATAATACTCAGGATACTCTAGGTCTTTTAGCCACCTTCCCCTTTGATGTTCAAATCCCTGTTACGACACCCCAGTAAGTGATCCTCCAGCCTCCAGTGAAGACTTGGTGACTTAGTGCTCCCTAACTCCATAACGATCCTTTTGTAGGACCATGAAAATCATCATCTTTACCAACAATGTACACAAAGTGCCATCAATTGCATAGGGGGAGGGAAAACTGAGTCACTGGCATAGCGGAGGCCAGAGTTTTGCCTCTTGATTCCTAAGCGCCTTTCTGTGGGTTCAAATGGTTATATCTGTTTGGGGTGTAAAGGAGGTCAAATCTGGGAACCTGTTCTCTAAAGAAATAACCACCAAAATGCTGTGTGTTGAGCCCAAACATGTATAGATTTCAACCTCCTTGAAACTCCTCTTACTTACTCATCATTGCACGAAATGGGCAGTGAACTGTGAAGATCTGTGAAACATGGGGGGAGGGAGGTGAAGAGAAGGGAGGGGGTCACAGCCTGTACCCATCCTCCTCAAAGCACCATCTGCACCAGCAGCAACAGCATCCCCTGGGATGTTTGAAATGCAGAATCCCAGGCCTCAGCCCTACAGAATCAGAGCCTGCATTTTGACAAGGTCCCCAGGTGATCTGCAGGCACAGCATACTAACATTATATGACTCATAGAGATAAAGAACGTTATTTTATATTTTTTTCTGATTATAAAAGTGGTAAAAACTCATATTAGAAAATTTGGAAAGCATCCCCCCCATCCCCATTTGGATCCTTGAGAGAAGAGGAAGGCGGCTTGCATGGGGGCGTAAGTAATCAAGCTCTTACACTTGGTGATTACAACACCTCTCCCAGGTCTTTCAGTAATTAAGAGAGCAGTTATGTTAAGTCCAATATGACTGGCCTGGGGTAAGGTGGGCGGCAGAGTGGAAAGAGGAATGAAAGAATTACTAGTATAACTCCAAAAAATAACATGGAGTACTTACAAATTTGTGGGCAGGTAGTTTGTAAACCACAGTGCAGGTAGGAAAATATTTCTCTTCTTGCCCATGACTTTCATCTGGACTGATGCTAAGCCTTGGGAGAGGGGTGCTGGGAACTATCCAGATCTGTTAACTCAGCGGAGCCAAGTGCTGCTGAGGAAAGGCAAGTGGGTCTCCCAGGATGGTGGAGATATGAAAGGAGGTGGTTAAAGAATGATGGTGCTCTTTGAGAGATGAGGACAAGGAAGATCAGGGTCAGGAAATGGGATCTGCTTCACTTCCCTAGAAGGTAGTGTATGAAAAAAAAAGCCAAACTCTGTAAAATATTTGAAGAGATTTATTTTGAGCCAAATGTGAGGACCACGACCCAACACAGCCTCAAGAGGTCCTGAGAACATGTGCCCAAGGTGATTGGGTTACAGTTTTGTTTTATACATTTTAGGGAGACATAAGACATCAATCAGTCCATGTGAGGTATACCACACATTGG
The DNA here is from genome assembly GCF_000001405.40 of Homo sapiens. NCBI lineage: Eukaryota > Metazoa > Chordata > Mammalia > Primates > Hominidae > Homo > Homo sapiens. The sequence goes on along the minus strand of NC_000009.12, from coordinate 99,308,700 downwards.
TTCAACCTGGAAAGGCAGGACAACTCAAAGCAGGGGCTTACAGGTCAATGGTGGATTCAAGGATTTTCTGATGGGCATTTGATTGAAAGAATTCAGTTATTATCTCAAGATCTGGAATCAACAGAAAGGAGTGTCTAGGTTAAGATATGGGGTTGTGGAGACCAAGGTTCTTATTATATAGATGAAATCTCAAAGGCAGCCTCCCTTAGAGGCAATAGATGGCACCTTTAACAGGTGCTAGACTCTCAGCTAATTTCTACAGGATCAGAAAAAGACCTGGAAAAGGAAAAGAATCTCTACAGAATGTAAATTTCCCCCACAAGAGACGGTTTTGCAGGTCCCTTTCAAAATATGGCAAATAAATATATTTTGGGGTAAAATAGCTTGATACTTTAAACAGCCTGCTATCTGTCATGTGATATTATACAAGAGTCAGGTATTAGAAGTTGGTGTCTTATTACTACAAAGAGTCTGTTTTGTTGGTCTTAAGATCTCTGTTTTAATATTAATGCTGGTCAGTTGTGCCTGAACTCCAAAGGGAGGCGAGCATAATGAGGCATGTCTGACCTGCTTCCCGTCATGGCCTGAACTAGTTTTTCAGGTTTCTTTGGAATCCCATTGGCCGAGAGGAGGGCTCCATTGAGTCCACTGTGGGGTTTTTTGTTTGTTTCTTTGTTTACAATAGGAAAAGCAGACACTGAGCAGACCTTTGAATCATTCTCTTTGGCGGGGGTTGGGAGGACTCCACTGACTAATCTGTATCCCCATGGCAGAGGCTGCAGTGAGGAGAAGCCTACAATCAGAAGAGGTTGTCTCCACACTCCAGCCTATCCCATTTCCTCCAGTCTCTAGAGCTAAGGAAGTAGCCCAGTTAGCCTAAGCTCAAATTTTTTTGTTTTGTTTGTTTGGTTGGTTTTTGAGACAGGGTCTCTGATGCCCAGGCTGGAGTGCAGTGGTGCCATCAGGCCTCACTGCAGCCTCGACCTCTGGGCTCAAGCAATCTTCCTGCCTCAACCTCCCGAGTAGCTGGGACTACAGGTGCAAGCCACCAGCCTGGCTAATTTTTGTATTTTTTGCAGACAGGTCTCGTCATGTTGCCCAGGCTGGTCTTGAACTCCTGGGCTCAAGCAATCCACTGGCCTTGACCTCCCAAAGTGCTGGGATTATAGGCATGTGCCAACATACCCAGCCCACCAAGCCCAGATTCCATACACAATGTTCATAATTTATTCAATTAATCGTGTAATATTAAAATTCTCCCACACAAAGTCCCTTGAAAACATTATTTTAAAGATGGTATCATTACCATATTTTATTTAAATATTTCCCATTATTGGAGTGTTAGGCAATTTCTCTTTTTCACCACATATATGATGCTGTAATAAACATCTTTATCCACATAACCAATGACTTCCTTTTTCATCTAGGGAAACTCTCTTAAAATCAAAGTGAACCATACATATGGAAAAGTGCAAAAATCAAAAGAACACAGTTTAATGACTTTTCACAAAGTGAATACCTCACAGAACCACCACCCAGATCAAGAAACAGAATATTGCCAGAACCCAAGGCCCTTTTGTGTCTCCTCAGAGTAATACTATCCTAATATTAAGCACCATTAGATTAACTTTTCTATAAATTCAAACATACATTATATTTATATGGTTGCTTATTTGTCTTATAAAGTATAAATACAAATATAAATTATATTTATATATTTACTAATATATTTCATACTTACATATATTTATGTTTTAGATACATTTTAATGTATTTTATGTCATCTATATATAAATATATATTTGAATTTTATACAAATTCAAGTATAAAATTGTGCAGATTTTTTTTTCAGAGCTAGCTGAGGTTATTTTGGACAACAACAACAACAAAAAAAGCAATTGAATTGTTTTGTAGCTGGAGGCATGGGCAAGGAGGGTGCCCCAGGGAGTGAACTCCCCCCAACGTGGGCTGAGGGCGAGGGCTGAGCCTGAGGTGGATCTCCTGTTCCCTGTGCTTCCCTCACAGCGGCCTCCCTCCCCCGCTCTGGGTCAGCCAGGAGGGGCAGGCGGGGTGGGGCTGCCGCAGCTGTTCACTTGGACAGGACGTCAGAGGACTCGGACTCCAGCTTGCCATCATGGGTCTCGATCTTCCTCACAACCACGGCCCTGGTGGAGCTGGTGCGGCTGAAGGAGCTGGAGCCCGCGGCAGAGCCAAAGCTGGAGCCCAGGCGGTAGATGATGCCGGGGCTTGTGAGGCCCCCATAGGCCGAGCTCAGCCCACCTGCATAGCTGCTGGTGGTCTTCGTATGGATACTCACGTTCTGCATCCCAGATTCCAGCCGGCTCTCCTCGCCCTCCAGCAGCTTCCTGTAGGTGGCAATCTCGATGTCCAGGGTAAGCCCGACGTTCATCAGCTCCTGGTACTCACGCAGCTGCCCCATCATGTCCTGCTTGGCCCGCTGCAGGGCGGCCTCCAGCTCGGACAGCTTGGCGTTGGCATCCTTAACAGCCAGCTCCCCACGCTGCTCGGCATCTGTGATGGCGGCCTCCAGGGAAGCCCTCTGGCCTTTGAGGCCCTCGGTCTCAGCCTGGAGCCAGCTGATGTTCCGGTTCATCTCGGAGATCTCAGTCTTTGTGCGGCTTAGGTCATCCCCGTACTTCCCAGCCAGCGTCTGCAGCTCCTCATACTTGATCTGGTACATGCTCTCAGCCTCAGCCCGGCTGCAGTTGGCAATCTCCTCATACTGCACCTTGACCTCAGGGATGATGCTGTCCATGTCCCGAGAGCAGCTGTAGTCCATGGACAGCACCATAGACATGTCGGAGATCTGGGACTGCAGCTCCCGGATCTCCTCTTCATACAGCTGCCTGAGGAAGTTGATCTCGTCAGTCAGCCCTTCCAGGAGGGACTCCAGTTCTGCCTTGTTCATGTAAGCTTCATCAACATCCTTCTTGATGAGGACAAATTCATTCTCCACCTCCGTATGCTTATTGATCTCATCCTCATACTTGTTCTTGAAGTCCTCCCCCAGCCCCTGCATGTTGCCAAGCTCTGCTTCCAGCTTCAGCTTCTCCTGGCCCAGAGTCTCCAGCTGCCGCCTAAGGTTGTTGATGTAGCTCTCCAACATGTTGTCCATGTTACTCCGAGCCATCTTCTGCTGCTGCAGGAGGCTCCACTTGGTCTCCAGCACCTTGTTCTGCTGCTCCAGGAACCATACCTTGTCGATGAAGGAGGCAAACTTGTTGTTGAGGGTCTTGATCTGCTCCTTCTCCTGGGTACACACGGCCTGGATGTTGGGGTCCACCTCCAGGTTAAGGGGGCTCAACAGGCTCTGGTTGACCATGATGGCGATGATGCCTCCCATGCCACTGGCCCCACCATAGCCTCCACCCAGGCCACCCCGAAAGCTGCTGCTCCCCACTCGGGAGCAGCTCAAGGAGCTGATGCAGACGCCAGGCCCACTCACGTAGGTGCAGCTGCTGAAGGCCCAGGGGCCAGAGGACTTCTGGGTCACTCTGATGGATGTGATGGAGGCAGGAGTCGAAACAGGCAGGCTGAGCCAGGTGGATATTCCAGAAGGAGTAGACATGGGGCTTTTTTTATGAGATGGGGTCTCACTATGTTACCCAGGCTGGTCTTGAACTCCTGGGCTAAAGCAATCCTCCAACCTTGGCCTTCCAAAGGGCTGGGATTACAGGTGTAAGCCACCCTGCCTGGCCTAGATTTTGCATCTGGTTCCTTTGCTCAACATTGTTTGTAAGATTCATCCATGATGTTTTTCTTGTAGCAATAATTCATTTTCATTGCTGTATATTATTCCATTGGGTGAATACACACAACTTTTCTTTTGTATTTTGTTCAGTGTTTCTAGTTCTTAGCAGGAGCATTAGGCTGCTATAGGCTACTCAACCATGGCCAGAAGCAGAAGTCCACTTATTTATTTTTGTTAAATTCTAAGAAGTAGAATTCCTGGGCAAAAAGAATATTTTTTAAGCCATTGATGCACACTGCTCATTGTTTTCCACAAAAGCTGTGACAATTTATACTCAGGAAAAAATCATGAAGTTCTTCTGAGGGATGAGCATCAAGAGTCATCCTAATAATAACAAAAAGTTTTAAATCTTACTAATCGTATTTAATAGTGTCAATATTGTATTAAGGCTGTTTCATATATAAATTATAAATATTAAAATGCTGGTATATTTCATAAAGTTTTTTGTGCCAATTTATTACTTAATTCTCACAAAACTCTGAGGGGTAAATTTTATTGCTGTTTCATTTTAAAGATGAAGGAACTATGGCTCAGAAAAACTGAAGTGTCCTGTCTATGTCACCTGACTAACGGCCAACAGATAGTCTTCCTTACCCATGGCAGGCTACACCTTGCCTAAATTGCTAAAGAAGCAGCCCAGATTCTTCAGGCTAAAATAGGTACCAGGGAGAAGGACATGTCGCCCTTTTGTATGGAAATGAGCATCCTTCAAAGCCCAGTTCAAATGGCAACCCCTTTCCCAAAGGACTCTTCCCTCCCTACCCACCCTATTGGAAGTAATACAACCACAACTTCCTTCTGGAAGCCACACCCCTATACTGGGAAGGGGCCCTTGCCTACAAGATCCTGGAATGTCACTGCTGAGATCATTTAGTCCAGGGATTACAAATAGGGAGCACACACCAGTGAGGCTCCCTGCTCCCTTGTCAATGGCAGACATAACAAATCAATCACCATCTAGCCACTGTCTCCCACGCTGAGTCCATCTGAGACCATCTCACCCCCAGCTACCACGCTGGCTTTGTCTCTGTTCCTTGTGCATGCCAAGTTCCATCCCACCTTGTGACCCACACATTGGCTGCAGCCAGATCTCCTCATGACTGAGTTTTTCTTGTCCTCTCAGGTCTCAGCTCAAATATCATCTCCTGCTGATCCCCCCAAATCTAAGGTAGCATCACCTTCCCTGATTTGTCTTCTCTTATGATCATTTTTAAATTTAATTTATTTAGCTGTCTGTTTTTATAGTTGTTGTATCCTGAGAACTGAGCCTCTTCTAAGTAGTTCACCTATTCCCCAGCGCCTGAAAGAGTCCCTGGTACTCAGCAGTTGCTCAATTAGTAATTGCTGAATGAGTGAGTTAATCAAGACGTGATTTTCTGCTGAGTCCAGGTATGACCTGAAAAGCCTTCCCATCACACTGTTACAGCCATTCGCTACCAGGAATCAGAAGTAAAATGTGGGATAAAATATTTTTGCCATGGCTAACTTCCTTAATTCCCCATTTTACAGATGGGAAAACTGAGGCCCAGATAAGAGACTTGCCTTTCCCAAAACTACAGAATGAGGAAGGGGCAGAGCTAGGACTGACACCAGCTCCTCCCACACCCCCATCCTTCCTGCTCCTCCCCAGCACAGGGAAACGCCGGAAGAGCTGTCATAATGGCTCAGCCACAAAGTAGAGGATCCTGGCCACGGAGCTCTGGAGCTTGCCTATGAATTACGCACCTAATTACCAGCTGCCTTTTTTTTTCTATTCTGTGGGTAAAAGTCGATCACATAGAAGATTCTCCCTGTGTTTCCGTGGATACCAAGCAATCTAATTTCAAACTCCCTTGCAAATGGCAAGTGAGTGAACTTAATTTTAATAAAAACAAGGAAAATCATACGTGTGAGCTTAATAAAATCTAATTTGGGCAATTTAGAGCTCAGAAAATAAAGCCTTTATGTAAAAACTAGCAATTAGCTTTATGAAACAATACAGTGAACCTTAGCATAGGGGAGAGTTGGGAGCTGGAAGACTCGAGGATAAGGAAATGTGGCAATAATATAAGAAAGCTAAAGGGGCAGGGATCCTGGTTCCTGGGGTCAGAGGGTTCAAGTTCAAGTACACAAGCTACCACTTCTTAGCTCTGTGACCTTGAGAGAGTCGCTTTTCCTCTCTAGATCCTATTGTCTAAACCCTAGTGTCTTTGTTTGTAAAATGAGGTTAATAAAACTCCTTGACCTAGTAGAATGGTTGTACAGACAATAAGAAAACAAATAGGCAAGAGCTTTGTAAAAGTGTCCAGCAATTGTTATCTCATCATTTGTCCCATCTAACATTCTTTCCAGCAAAGAAAGAAAAGAAGGCTAGTGGAGCCTATCACCTGGATCGGGGATGTAGGATGGAGTGGTGTTACTGGAAAGGGGTCCTTATCCAGACCCCAACAGAGGGTTCTTGGACAAGAAAGAATTTGGGGCAAGTCCAAAAACTAAAGTGAAAGCAAGTTTAAAAAAGTAAAAGAATAAAGGAATGGCTACTCCATAGGCAGAGCAGTGGTGTGGGCTGTTCGACTGATTATACTTACAGTTATTTCTTGATTGTATGCTAAATAAGGGGTGGATTATTCATGAGTTTTCCAGGAAAGGTGTGGGCGATTCCCGGAACTGAGGGTTCCTCCCCTTTTTAGACCATATAGGGTAACTTCCTGACATTGCCATGGCATTTGTAAACCATCATGGCACTGGTGGGAGTGTCTTTTAGCATGCTAATGCATTGTAATTAGTGTATAATGAGGAGTGAGGACAACCAGAGGTCACTTTCAACGCCATCTTGGTTTTGGTGAGTTTTGGCCAGCTTCTTCACCGCAACCCATTTTATCAGCAAGGTCTTGTGACCTGTATCTTCTGCTGACCTTCTATCTCATCTTGTGACTAAGAATGCCTAACCTCCTGGGAATGCAGCCCAGTAGGTCTCGGCCTTATTTTACCCAGCCCCTGTTCAAGATGGAGTCCCTCTGGTTCAAATGCCTCTGACAGTGGGGGTAGAGGGCAGGTATGCAAACTTCCACATTCACCTTGCATTTAGATGTTGCAGACCTATGGCACACTGCCAGAGGTGACTCCCAGAAGTGGTTTACAGGAGCCAGAAGCAAATCTCCAAGTCAGAGTGAGCCTGGGGGAAGACCTGAGGCTCTTGACATGTAATCACTGTAGCCCAGCACATCTGCACCACTGACAGGTCCCCTTTACATAGAGATCTCTACAGGTTGTATTATTCCCATTCTACAGAGGAGGAAAATGAACCACTGAGAGACACAGCAGCTAAACTCAGGTCACACAACTAGTTGACCCAGCCAAGACTCAGGCTAGGTTTCCTGATTCCATCCTCCAGCCCGCTTACCAGCACCTCTCATGGTTACTAAAGCAAGTGACTGTGAGAGTGAGAACCTGCTACATCTGTTGTGTCCCTTCTTCCCTAAGGGCATGTGCAGCTTCTATCAGAGTTGCTAGGAGCCACATCCGCAAAGAGCGTGGTCTTCATCACACATCACTCCAGAAGCAGTGGCTTTTCCACTCCAGGCAGAAAGCAATTTTTTCCTAGTGCCTTCCCAGAAGCAAAGTGGGTAATTAATTGCACTGAATAACACATTAAATGTACTAATAATTGGGTAGTCACAGCAAAATGATTACTTTGAAGAAATATTACCAACTCCCTGTTGTACTTAACATTTCTCCTTATTTATCATTACCATTTTAATCAATAATAGTCACAATACTAACAAATCCATCTTAATTTTAATTGTTTTCAATTTGATGTACCAGTACTTGAGTATTCTGAGCATACTTCATTATTTATATTAATTTAAGAACACTTAAAGGCAAATTACGTAGTTTGTACTTTCAAGTAGGTAGGTAATTATGACAAAGTTTCTCTAGATTCAGCATTTTCATGCATTGAGCAGTGTGAGGTGTCAGGTGTCTGCCCATTTCTGATAGGCTCAAGGGTCAGGGATGGAGAGGATAAAGGAAGACTCTCAAAGCCTCCACTTGAATTAGCATATTCTGGCCTTTTAAAAGAGGTTTGGGTCCCTGAAAGTATGATTAATAGCTCAATGGCTTTGCCTTTACTTATGTTGTCTAGCCTTGAATGCAGCATTCATCCATTCATTCACCATCGCCCAGGGCCAAATACTGCCCTAACACCAGAGACAGAAAGAGAGAGTGAGAAACTTACTGTGAGAAAGGCTGGCCATAGTCAACAGTTGGAATAGGTAAATAACATGTGACTGAAGGAATCGAGGAGTGCTTCTGGGAGGCAGAGGCGTTTTCCTTGGTCTGGAAGGGTGGGTAACATTTGTCAGGGAAGTGACGGAGTGGACTCCAGCTTTGATAGAAAGCCAGTTAGGAGGCTCTGGCAGAATGGGGGCTTTTCAAGGTGACACTGGAGCTAATGACAGAGAAAGTTCAGAAGGAAGAACCATGGCCAGTGTAAAATTGACCCTTGGATATGGCTTAGAGTGGATGATTGGGAGTTAGTGATGCCAGAACGGAGAAAGAGGGAAGCCAGGAGGAGGAAGCCAGGTGGAAGAGGTAAAAAGATGGGTTTCTTAGGAAATCACTAAGTTCTGAGGGCCATAGAGTAGCCAGGAGAGAAATCTAGCAGGTAAAGTGGAGAAGCTGGCTACAGCCCAGAGGAGTAGACAGCCCTGGAGAGAGGGTCTGGAAACCCTCTGGTAGAGAGTCCCATGGGTGAGAAGGGTGACAGTCACAGCTCTTGCCTCTGTGGGCTTCACTTCACAGGTATGTATAAACTGGCCACAGCCTCACAGATTTCAAGCCCCCTTGGAGGGCCCAGCCAAGAAAGTTTCTTCTCCCCTTCTCTGTCCAGCGCCAGCATAAAGGGCACATCTTTTTGAATCAAATTGTACTGAATTGAAATTGCACACCTGTGTTGTCAATGGCCCTGTTTTGTGAGGACATCCTGCTGCCTGAAGGGGAGGATGCAGGGGCTAACATGACTCAGAGAAGTCATGCTGATAATGTGGAGATTAACAGCAATGGATGGGTCTGTGTCTCCACTCTGCATGGCTGGGGTATCAAGGTCCTGGCACCAGCAATGATTTGCTAGGGTGTTGCAACTGGTGCTAATGATTTCTAGAAACCTAGAAGTTATAGGAGGGGAATTTAATGGGAAAGAGGCTCCACCTCCTGGTAATACTCAAAACCAACATTTCTTCAGCGCTTTACAGTTTATAAGCTTCTGTCAGCTTTTAAAATCTCATTTAATTCTCTATCTTGATCTGGGTGGTGGTTACCAGCTGCACATGTATGTTAAAAAAATCATTGAGCTTACAGTTAAGATTCTTGCACTTCAGTCTATGTTATACTGCCATTTAAATTGTGTAAATAAATACACGGATAAATAAATAACCTCTTATTTAATTCTTCTAACCATCCTATGAAGTTAGCAACTTTGTTATCCACAAGTGAAGGAACCTGAAGCTGAATGACTCACCCTGGATGCTGGGCTGATGAGTGAAGTGACTAAGCCAGAATGGACTGGCATGGATTCCTCTGGTGCAATTTGAATAACAGGGATTATAACATCAACAGGGCTTGGAAGGACTGAAGAGGGAGCAATCATGGTGCCAAAGGGCCCTTTGGAGGTCTGTGGGGATGAGATCTGCCGTCTCCACCTGGCCCTCCCTTTCCCTGGGACACAGGTTTGACTTGGGCAGATATCTTTCTAAGTGCACATTTTCTATTGAACCACAACTCAGGGACAGGGAAAGTTCCAGGAGTCTGCATCTCAGGAGTCCTCCACGTTGTTCCCCATTGGTCTCTCAAAGTCCCCTTGGAAATTTGCTCAAAATGAATAATACAAAGTAAAACCATCCTGGCGTTGTCAACAGGTTAGACTTCATACCTTCCTGTTCTTTCAAAAAGGAGCCGCTAACAAGCACCAGAATCTACCTGGCCCTTGGACTTCTGAAAGGGAATAGGAAGCCTGTCCTCCTTCCTGCCTGTGGAAAACAGTCTCTTAAAACAAACAAACAAAACGAAGACAATAGCCTGTGACAAGTAGAAGAACATGCAAAGTGGGAATCCCAAGCAGAATGTAACCAACTCCGCTGGGAGTGTCCAAGGAAGGCTTTACACACAAGGGGTGTGACTCGATTTATGCTTCTAAGCATAAATGAAAGTTTGGTGAGCGGAAAAGAGGAATATGCATTCCAGGCACCAGGAACAGCGTAAGCAAACACCCAGAGGCAAAAGCATATCAGATGAGGTTGGGGAGAAATCATGGGTACTCAGAAGGGCCCGGGAATCTGGTTCCTTTCTTTACATACAAGAACTCCATTAAGGTTACCCTTGTGCCTCACGGATTACAGAAGGGTTGGAGTAGAAGTGCCTCTGGTCTCAGTGGACCTTTAAAAAGGTTTGCAATTCAGATGTGGCAGCCTTTTGTTCTTGTCCTTATGTCCATGAACTCCACAGGACTCAGAAATTCTTAAGTTCAACCCCACAAAATGTTAACGATTTAGCTTTCTCTTGGCTAATCCAGTTTGCAGCCTCCCCATATTCCTCTGCTTAGCAAAGCCCATCCTTAGGAACCTGACCTCCTCCAAGTTTCCAGCCCATTCTCAACTTAAAAGGAGGCAGAGTTTGGATATAGTATTTTCCCTGTGCCAAATAGCATAGTAAATTCATGCTTAACATATTTGTGTGCAACATGCATTTGAAGAATCTTCCAGAAACATGTTCTAGAAACAAGAGACTGCCAATAGCCAGGCCCTGATTTGCCACGCCCTGGAGTGGAGCTTTCTAGTAGAGCCATTCATGCAGTTTCTGGTCCTACCTTTGATATTCAGAAACTTTTTTCTTTAGTACCTGAGAAAATTAATCCACTCCATTTCTCTCCAAGTTTCCAGCATCAAGATGGGATTGAATCTCTGTCAGGTGTCAGCTTTCAATGTGATGAATGGGCTCTTCGTTTCTGCCTTCACGTCTGGAAGGTCCAGATCCCCAACTGGGATGACTGATCCACCTGGGGAAATGGCATTTGACAGACCCACAGCTTCCTGGGGCCACTGAGGATAAGGTTGCAGACAGGGCTCCGGACAGGAAAAAAAAAAATTAACATCTTTTTGCTCAATCTGGATGTCATTTGAAACAATACTCTTCAAGCTCTCTACCCTGGGGATTTATTAAGTTATCAGTAAGCAACTCTGAAATAAACCACACTCATGGCTTTATGTTCTTTCCCTGCCCCACCCCCAACCCAGACTTCTCCTCCACTTAACCTGTTACATTCCAGGTAGGAAAGAGGGAGGACAGGACCTGTGGTCTGCAGATCAGAGTTCAAATCTCCTCTCAACCAAGTTTATTATTATGTGGTTTCAGGCAAAACTCTCTGAAGAGCCTGTTTTCTCACCTGCAAAATGGATGTGAAAGCACTTCCCCAGGGTTGATTTATTTATTCATGTATTATTCCTCTAATTCACTGTATGCTTCTGTGCCAGACCCAGTTCTAAAGGCTGGGAGTACAGAGATGACTCTCACCTGCCCCCCACTCTCTGGAGGTCAAATGAGAGAATGAATGCACCCATTGCTTTGTAAATTACACGACACCATGCATCTTAATTATCAGTCCTACTACAGTGGTCTGACACTCAAAATGCTTGTAATAGGAAATCACAACAATGACTAAGAGTGAAGGCTTTGGCACAAGACCTGGGTCACTTACTAGCCGTGTGTCTAGCATAAAATCCTTAAGCTCTCTAGCCTTGGTTTTTCATCTACAAAATGGGAACAACAACAGCTCTTTCCTCAGAGGGCGGTTTGAAGGAGTAAATGGAATAACGCACCTGAAATCATTTAGAGAACTGGCTGGCACTTATAAGTGCTCGACAACTGTTAGCTATCATTGTCATACTCATTCTCATTAGGATGATAATGATGTTCATTATTTTAAGAGCAGACAATCGAGCACAGCAGTCCAAAACCACTTTCCTCGCCCCCGGAAGGAGATGAGAGTGAACGAGCTGGAGCATTGACGCGCGCCTGGGGCGCCACGTGGTGACATGGGTTTCTCCTGTTTATCCCTCGAGGCTTCCTTTCAGCGTCTTCTTCCCCAGCAGCTGCTCTGTCAACAGTCCATATGCTGCCTCGGCTACGGAGCAGCTTTCAAGAGGGGGCTGCCAACCCCGTAGGAGAACTTTGAAGACAAGTTCAGGGGCACGCGTGCTGGGGCGGCAGTCACCCCGCCCCCGCGAGCCTTGGGCCCTCCCCTCCCGCCCGGCCTCCCCGCACCCCTTCTGGTGGCGGAAGTGGAAGGGGGCGGGGGGCGCAGGCAGCCGGGCCTGGTTCCGGGGAGGGTGTGCGCGTGGCAAGGAGGCCAGCTGGAGGAACAGGAGGGGACAGATGCCATGGGGGCCCGGATTTGTTCCTGCAGGAAGAGTGCAAGGAGCTAATTGTCTAATTACCCAGGAGCGGTTTCTCCGTGGCCCTGCCACGCCGTGTGGAAAGAACTCCAGTTTGTGCATGTCAAACAGTCGGTGGGCGGCTCTGGGGAGGAAAGGGAAGGCGGTCCTGAGCCTGGATTTCTTCCAGGCTTGTACTGCAGAGTCACTTCTAGCTCTGGACCCCGAAGCCTTACAAATACTGCTTTGAAAAATTGAATCATAGGCTCTACATCCCTTCAGCTTAGCTGGCTGTTGGAGAAAATTATATCCGCTGCTTTTCTCTTCCCCCACATCACCCTCAACATAAACACACACACACACACACACACACACACACACACACACACACGCACACACCCCTTATACCCTGCCATTGGTCATTTACACTGAGCAGTCATCTAGTTTCCAATCCATTCTTTAAAATATGAAAGTCCTTGGGTCCTGGCTTGTTTCTTTCCTACGCGGGCTCCCAGCATTTTCGTACTGTCAGGACTTTGCTATGCTGGGCACGCCATCTATGTGCCCTTTTTATGCAGCCCTTTGTAACCAGTGCCTTCTGCATCATCCTTCAGGAGCCAGTTTTGCACCCTGTAGTCCCAGCTATTTAGGAGGCTGAAGAGGGAGGATCACTCGAGCCCAGGAGTTTAAGGCCGCAGTAAGCTGTGATTGTGCCTCTGCACTCCAGCCTGGGCTACAGAGCGAGGCCCCATCTCTAAATTAAAAGAAAAAAATCCACCTTTCCTTAGGCTTTCATTATATATAATGTGATATGTACATACATATTATATTTCCTGTCTGTCTTTAATTTCAGACTATTTCGTATGAAAAGAAACGTAACTGGCCTCTGTGCAGCACCTTCCTTTGTTCAAGAGACTTCCACTCACATTCTTCCATCTCTACCTCCTAAGTGACAACCTTGTGAAGTGGGCAGTGTCCACTTCACAGTGCAATGTGGGTGGTAGATAGAGTATTTACAGATCACTCCAACATGCTGTGTACGTCGGGGTAGCCCTTGAAACACGGGAGTCTAGACCTTATTTAGCACTTGCAGACACATTTCTCAAGTCCTGGCAGTTGACCACTGCTGGGATCACCCTTTCCAGGCTCCTACCACCCCTTCAGAGAATTCTGGCCTCATAATCTCACACCCAAGACACGTGAGTGTAACAGTAGGAACTGCATTGGTCGTATGTAAAAAAGATGCAGTTACCATGTGTTTAACCACATCTGTAGGTGCTTATTTTTTCTCACATAACAATTCTAGATTGCCACCTCATAGTTGCAAGATAACCGCTCACTTCTAGCTGCATACTCATATTCTCTAAGGAAAGGCGGAAAAAGGAAGCAACAAGATGGAAGAGGCAGCCACCCTATCAGGAAAGCAACGTCACCAAAATAACCAGCAGGTTTCCAGTTATATCTCTTTGACCAGAACGTGTCATATGGCTACCCTCAGCTGCAAGGGAATCTGGGAAATGTAGTTCTTTAGTTGGGCATCTTGTCAACCCAAACAATATCAGTGTTCTATAAATAAGAAGAAAAGGGAGAAGGATACAAATGTGTGGTGATCTTAAGGTGTGCCGTTCTCACAAGAGAATAGGCTCTAGGAGGTCAAGGAACATATCTGTTTATGCTCACCATTTGTGTCCCAGAGCCAAGCCCAGAGCCTGGCACACAGTGGGTGCTCCATAATATGTTTGAAATGGGGGAATGAGCCTGAGCAACATGGGGAAACCCATCTCTACTAAAAATACAAAAATTAGCCAGGCGTGGTGGTGCATGCCCGTAGTCTTAGCTACTCAGGAGGCTGTGGCAGGAGGATCACTTAAGCCCTGGAGGTCAAAGCTGCAGTAAGCTGTGATTAAGCCCCTGCACTCCAGCCTTGGTGACAAAGCAAGGCCCTGTCTCAAAAAGAAAATAAAAATAATAAATGGGGGAATGAATGAATCAATGAAATGACTACTAAAGTCATCATTAGTAAGGTATTTTAAGCTCTAAATGGGCTTAAATCTCAGGCCCCTAAAACCCTTCCACATATCTGGTATTTGTCAAAGTTCAAAGCCTTCCGACACTCCAGCTTCTTCCAGTGTCCTCTGTGTACTCTGTGTGTCGCTTGGATAACCCCTAACACCCATTATCAGGTCACAATAAATCAAATCTGCAGCATTTCATTCTGGGTTACCTGTAATATAGCCCTCATATTCATAAATTAATAGCCAATTATGGAGCATGAGATAAATAATCCCCAGCATCAATACATATCATCCATAATTACAAAGACAGGATCAGGTGTATCCATGCATAACACTTGGCTGGAATTCCCATTTTTAATGCAGTTATTTATTGCCACATACATATCATTTTGAGGAAAGGGTAGTTTTGTACCGTTTAATAGAAAAGACACCTACATAGATAAGAAATCCCTCTTCATAAAATGCTGTAAATTTGATAAATGAATAAAAGCATAAAATTTAGCCAGAAGTTTTCCCTTTGATGAATGGGTTTTAAAATACTTACAGTGTGTTTTTAAATGACAGAAAAGAATAGGACACCCAAATCAGATCTAGAAACCCTCAAAAAGAGATTACATTTTAGGTGAACTGTTTATAGAAAAAGCTGGCTTTCATTAACTTAAACCTCCAGGAACTGGTTCTGTGGGCTCTGGGAGGAAAGATGGTCCCGGGCAATTCCAGAAGAGGTCAGAGCATTTTGATGATCTCTTCTTTCCATAATGGACAGCAGTGTCTTAGCGTCAGAGCTAGGGGGTACAGGTTCAGAGCTGGAGGTTTTCTGTGTTCTTAATGGTGCCCAGCAACGGTGTTGACTAACCCATTAACTTAACCCACCAACCGTACTTCATTACAATACATTCAGAATTTCACTGAAAGACATATGGATTCTTCAGGAGATTCTTACTCCTTGAACCTCAATTTCTTCATCTGTACAAAAAGAATAAAAGTAGACGTTCTGTGTGCCTTTTCAGTATGGTTGTGAGGATCACATAAAGAGAACGTGAAGCAAACTATCATACCCATCATCTCACATCGTTACCCATTTGTGTGTGTGTGTGTGTGTGTGTGTGTGTGTGTGTGTGGCAAGAGCAGTGAAAATCTACTCATTTAGCAAGAATCCCATAAGTGAAAACATGGTGTAGATGGTAACACGCTATACCAGTGAGAGAGGTTTTTAGGATGGATAATGATTTTCACAGGAAGTATCTTAGTGGGATTGTTTGGGTTGGGGATCATACATTCCCAGCACTAAACATGGCATATCTGTTGGATATCAATGGGATGCAGGGTTGTACTCACTCACACTCGAATAAGGAAGGACCATTGTCACACTAACAGGGGCCGTGTGATGCCCAGGAGTCTAGATGTCTGAGCTCTCCTTCTGCACCTGCCACTCTCTTCTCCTGTATGTTTGAGCTACTTATTTCCGTGCTGTGAATCTCAGTCTTCTCATCTGAAAAAAATGGAGGTGTCGAACTAACAAATCTCTGGGGAGCTGTTCTGGCTCTAACCTAGTAATTCTGATACTACAGAATCCAGGATCCCAGTGTGTGGTGGGATCGGGGACCTGTTCAGATGGACATCCACCCTGAGGCCATCTGAGACCCTTTCTGGCTGCCCCTGCCCTGCTCATCAATGTCTCTCAGAAGATCTTCTCTAGCCTCTTGGGGGTCCTCCCTGAACAGCTCAGGAACCTCGACAGCCTCTGAGACCAGCCAAGTTAAAGGTCTTAGGACAGGGCTGAAACACCACCTCTGTCTCAAGCTTGGTGCTGTCTACCAAGAGCCTGACTGGGGGACATCAAGGCAACCTTCCCTGACTTCATCAAACAGTTCCAAAAGCCTGCAAACAGGTGCTGGCTTTTTAAGAGAAGTAATTTCTGTGGCTCTCCACTCTAGCCACATTAGTCATTCAAGTGCTGAGGGACAATATAAATTCCTGTCATCCTACTTTATGTGACCACTAAGATTTATTCCAAGCGACAGGTCATTAACGTCTCTTCTCTTTATTTTTTTTTCTCAGATTCACTGAAAATTCATATTTCTGCTTTATTACAGACTGCTAACAGCTATGTTTTTGGTCAGAAAGTCAGCAATAAATCTGAATTTAATAAACTGACAAAAGACCACTATCCCAGAGATGGTCTGAGCCCACATTCCTCCTTTCCTTCCATACAAATGCTTTCGTATTGAGATATCTTCCACATAAAAGCTACGTTCACCATCTTAATAGTCACCTTCCCCCCACCCCCTTAGATGTTTTGCAGTTTCAAGGCTGACTATATAATTATGGATTGTCAGAACCTGAAGGCCCCACAACAATCGCAGTGGGTGGGGAAAGACCTGAACTCCAGGCTCAGCCATTCCCCTGCCACGCGACCTTGGACACGAGCTAAGCCTCAGTTTCTTTATCCATAGAATGGAAATCATAGTCCTCGTCCCATCTGCCTCTCAGGGGACCATGAGGATTAGATTCAAATGAGAGCAGGATGGAAATCATGAAGCTCTATGCAATTGGGGGTCAGGGATTGTGACTGCTTTTTAGTTGTAAATGTTCAGCATGTTAGAGCCAGTACGCATGTTAGAGATTCTTCACTTTACAAAAGAACACTGAGGTAGCAGCAAGTGGACCTCTCCCCTCAGGGAACCAGATTCTCCTTTCGGGTATTTTTTCTATTACACAATAGTCTCCCCCAAATCTCACCTATTTGCTCTTGGAAAAGGGTTTAGAGGAGGGGTTCTCTGAAGTTTCCTGGAAGGCCTCGCTCTACTACAGATTGCATGGATAAGGAGGCTCTAAGAACTTTCTGGCTGGGACCAGAGTCATTATCATGTCTTTGTTTACCTCCAATCAGTTGCGAGCACCTTGAGGGAAATTCTTGCATAAAGTAGGCATTAGGGAATGACTATTTGAATGAATTCCAAATTAATCCAAGGGGACTAATGTTCTGGCTAAACTCCAGATAGCATTCTGGGTTATTGGGAGGCACCTATCCTAAGATCTGAGCATCCCTTCCAGAAGGCAGCAAGACTGTCTCTTAGAAAATGGAAAGCCTAACCCCTTCCTTCCAGGGACTTTCAGATGCACTCTAAGAACTACAACTACTCCACTCCCCAAAACTGTGGCCCAGAATGAGGACTTTTAGGAGATTAGCATGCAGACAAATACATCAAGCCTTCTATAAACTTCTACCTTCAAACTCTCTATAAACTTCTGTCTGGCTTTGTAAATAACCATATAAGAATTTTCCCAATAAACACTGGAAGCAGAAATGAATAGACATTTCCGAGGACCTGTTTCTGACTAGTTGAGCAAAGCTTATAAAAGTTATACTGTGTGCTCTGTCAGCTTTTTCACTATTTCATAACGTCATCCATAAACCCAGAATAATTCTTATTTACCAACTCTCTCACTGCATGATTTTGCAGTCTCCAGCCAAAACTTGATGCAAATGGTGAAAAAATTAATCCTATTGAGTAAAATTAGAAAGCTCTAAAATTAGGGTGGTTTAAAAAAAAAGAGAATGGGCTGCCCTGAGTAATAGCAAGTCTCCCATAACGGGAAGTATGTAAGCAGAGACTAGAAGACTATCTGCAAAATGGTCTAAAAGAGGAATTCCTAAAATTGGTGGGAAATTGGTTTAGACAACCTCCAAGTCTTTGCAAATCAGACGTTCTGGGAATTGAAGATGTTGGTTCCCCCCAAACTTTTCTGCAGGCCTAGTATCTGCCAGGCTGTGTGCTGGGAAAGGATGAAGTAGACCCAGCTCCTAGTGATGCTAAGTGAAACCCCAGTGTGATGGTTAATACTGAGTGTCAACTTGATTGGCTTGAAGGATGCAAAGTATTAATCTTGGGTATGTCTGTAAGGGTATTGCCGAAAGAGATTAACATCTGAGTCAGTGGGCTGGGAAAGGCAGACCCACCGTTAATCTGGGTGGGCACCATATAATCAGCTGCCAGCACAGCTAGAATATAAAGCAGGTAGAAAAACATGAAAAAGCTAGACTGGCCTAGCCTGCCAGCCTACATCTTCTCCCGTGCTGGATGCTTCCTGCCCTCAAACATCAGACTCCAAGTTCTACAGTTTTGGGACTTGGATTGGATGTCTCCTTGCTCCTCAACTTGCACACGGCCTGTTTTGGGACCTTGTGATCACTTGAGTTAATACTTAATAAACTCCCCTTCATATATGTATTTATTTATATATTTATATATATATGGGAGTTTAAGTATTAATAGGATTTTATATATATATCCTATTAGTTCTGTCCCTCTAGAGAACCCTGACTAATACAGCCAGTTTAGTGAGAAGACAGACAAGCCAGCAGCTAACTCCAGTGCAAGGCAGAATGGTGTACATGTTGGAAAGAGGTGACCAACAGCCAGCTATGAGTTTGAGGGATAGTTGTGATGAAGAACCACCCAGAACTGGAGGAAGTCCCCATAGCCTGCTTCCTTGAGTTAGAGGGCTCTGGTTATGGGGAAATGGTCTATATATAATAATACTTTTTATTGAGCATTTATTAGGTGCCAGACACTTAGCCCACTTGTCAGTTAATAGGCATAACAGTCCAAGGTAGGTACTACTGTTTTCCCCTATTTTACATATGAAGAAATCAAGGATAGAGAGGGCAAGTAATGTGCCCAAGGTCACATGCCCTAATACGAGGTCAGCCCTAATGTGAAGCTAGGCAGTCTACTTCCAGCCATTGCTCCTAATGAGGCTGCTATTCTCAATGCCTCTAGAAGAACAATGAAAGGTTTGGACCAGGCTGTCTATAATGCCTGGCCTCCCGAAACACCAGGAATGTCCAGTACTACCCCTCCAGGATGGGGCTGAGAGGAAAGCAGGAGTTCCTGGACCAGGTGAATGCAGCATCCATATTAACTTCATGCTCCCAAGTATGGATTCCTGAGCCTTGAACTCCACGGTATCTCTGAGAAGCCTTCTCACACACAGCTTCACCTTCCTAAAGCTCCCCATGAATCCAGAACAGAAGAGGAAAGCCTCGTTCTAAGATGCCCACATCCACATAGATTTTTCCGTAAACTCCCTCGACTTTCAGCTGGAATTAGATCTGGTTTCTGAAATCCAGACCATGAAGGGGTGGGGCGAAGTTCTGGGAGGGCCAAGCTGGGAGTGCCTGGTACACACAGGGAAACTGCTTCCATTGACCTGGACAGGCGCTGGGACAAAGTAAGAAGACAGGTGAACTACAAAGCCATCAGGTAGCCCTCAGTCCAAAGTCAATGATGAGACTGCAGCCTCACGACGTGTGGGGGCTTTACAGTGTCAATTTAGTGAAGCTGGAGTTGTGTTTCTTAGAATTCCCTTTTCTGGTTCGTGCCAGGTCAGCTTTGGCCACAAGTACACTTTGCAAGAGATTCAGAACAAGGAAAGGCAGCAGCAGCCACATTCTTGTTATGTTCAGAGGCCAGGGCAGGGCACAAGCCCTCACAGACATTGTCACATATCTTCTGGGTGGTGTGGGCCAGCATTGGGAACTGCGGCCCCCCCGAAGCCCACCAGCTCCTGCAGACGCTCTTGTTTCAGCTCCCCTGATCCCTGGGCCAGTTCAGCATTTTGTTTTTGTTCCATAAGAAAATGCATAACTTCTGTAAATCATCCCCCTCATCAAAGTTGGAGTCTTGGGTGAAGTGAGATACCAGTGTGGATTCCACCCCATTCCCTGAGTTCCAGCCGATCCATTTTAACCTCAGTTCTCCACTTCCTGTCCATCATTTCTTCCCCACTTCTGTATCTGATGCTGACTTCAGGCCCCAGCACCAGACACAGAAATAATGGCCTTGCATAGACCAGTCCCCGCAATTATATAAGGTGAAATGTCTATAGCCAACCCCTTACTGTGTCTGTCTCACCAAGTGGCTCTGCTTCTCTGACTGAACCCCAAGTGATATGAAGAGGAAAACGAGGCCAAGCCTGGCAGAATGGAGGGAGGGATAGGCTCAATTCCAATTCACAGCAGAGGTAGGTTTGTCTGGTGCAGGACCTGATGAAGCTCTTGAGCTTCTGAATGTGGGCTAATTAGCTGTCTTGTGAAACTATTGATCTCAGAACCTGAAGAAGACCCAACCAGTCAAGGAGCAAATGGCTTCAGTTAATGGAAGGCTGGAATTAGCTGGGGTCACATCAGAACTTTTGTATGACTTAGATACAGCACTATAGCTGCTATAGACACCACACACACACACACACACACACACACACACACACACACACACACACACACACACAGACATAGCATCTATAGTCTTCCGTAGTCAAGCAGTACTTTTGGTGGCTTTCTTTTACTCCTTTCTCCCTCCTTCCCTTTTCCTTTGAGGTGATGCTTTAAGTTTCAATGACTTTCTTAAATCCTAAAAAAATCATATCTGTCCAAGTAGAGGATAGCTTGTACACCTGGAGGAGGCCACTCATGTGTGGTCCTGGGAGGGCCAGCCAGACTCTTCTGGCCTCAGAGAACCTGCAGGAGAACAAGAGGAAGGTAACTACTTTTAGTCCCTGATGTGACAAGAAGCTGCTCCTTGGACCTGTGGGCAGAAGCTTGCTCCCTCTGCTCAGAAGCAGAGTGACCATGGCCGTTTTGTTCACCACTGTCCCTTAAGACTAGAATTGCCTAGGCCCTGCTGGCACTGGAAAGATCCCAGTGATTTTACCCGACAGTTGACCTGACAAAATCATGAGCAGGTTAAGGAAAAGAACATCTCTTTCAGCCAACATTCAATAACCAGAACAAAGGAGACACAGCAGAGTTCAACAAGCAGGGGACCCACTGGAGCAGGATGTCAGAAGACTCAGGTGAGAATATTAAACAGCAATCTAAGAGAAGCTCTCGAGGAGATCCAATTGAAGAATAAAAATCACTTTCTAGGCCGGGTGCAGTGGCCTGTAATCTCAATGCTTTGGGAGGCTGAGGAAGCCGGATCACTTGAGGTCAGGAGTTCAAGACTAGCCTGGCCAACATGGTGAAACCCCATCTCTACTAAAAATACAAAATTTAGCTGGCATGGTGGCTTATGCCTGTAGTCCCAGCTACTGGGGAGGCTGAGGTGGGAGAGTCACTTGAGCCTGGGAGGCGGAGGTTACAGTGAGCCATGCCACTGCACTCCAGCCTGGGCAAGAGAGCGAGAGTCTGTCTCAAAAATAAATAAGTAAATAAATAAAATAAAAAGCACTTTTTAGGTACAAACAATACAGCATTCTCATCGAAACTTTTAATACCTAAGCTGAAAGAGAAGATAGTCATTTCTGAAAATGGACTTAGTAGGCTTTACAACAGAGCAACAAATGTAAAAAGACAAAAATCGTGAAAGGAGAAGATGCAAAACACTTGAAGACCTAAGCTGCAGGTAATAAGCATTTCCGAAGAAGAGAAGGAAACAGATGAGATGATCACAAAAACTAAACAAATAATAAAGGATTTTTTTATCTAAAGAAAGATTAATTTCAATATTAGGAGAGCTTTTTTAGTCCCAGAATAGACTAATTAAAGACAGAACTAGAAATCTTGACATAGCCTAATTTTTTGAAAAGTCCCAAATTTCAATTTCACCACTGTTTAATCACTGTTTTTTCCCTGACAATCAACAGAAAGAAGAAATTAGTTAAAAAGAAAACAGAAACAGAAACAGACGAGCACCCAATTTTCTAACTGTAATACAGCAAGCTAGAATAACACCTACATGGAAAAATAAAAATATTTGCAGATATGCAAGGATTCTTAGGGTGTGTCATCCATCTACCCTTGCTGAAGAACATACTTGAGAAAGTACACTAACCAAAAAAATCATTCAAGCAGGAAGGTTAAGTAGATTAAGCAAAAACACTGGGAAGCAGCACTGACAAGAATGCTTAGTCACAGCGGGCATTTATTCTGATCTGATAGGTGGGTTCCTGTCAATACCGGCTGTTAAATGTTCTTAATATTGCATATATATAAAATATATCTGTAATATATTATATTATATATATGCAAGCGTGTATGCATATATGAATAATATGAATGGGGACTTTTATTTAAAGTTTTAAATAAGAGGTTTTAGAATAGGGAAAAGGGAATAGCTGTGATGGTTAATTTTAGGTATAAATGTGATTGGATTAAAGGATGCCTGGATGGCTGGTAGGGTGTTCTTTCTGGGGGTGTCTGTGGGGGTGTTTCGGACATGTGAGTCACTGAAAGGAAGACCTGCCCTGTGGGCCCAGTTGTAACAAGAAGATGGAACGAGGACTCTCTCTCTCTCTGTCCCCCACCCCCCTACACCCACCACCTCCCTTCTGGAGCTGGAGCTGGAGCAAACATCTTTCTCCTCTTGCCGTCAGGCATTAGACTCCAGGTTCTTTGGCTTTGGGACTCTGGGACTTGAACGAGTAGCCTCCTCGGTCCCTCATACTGGGAGCATCCCTGGTTCTAAGGCTTCTGGAACTGGACTGAGCCAGGCTATGCGCTTCTCTGGTTCTCCAACTTGTAGATGGCCTATTGGGAGACTTCTCTACTTCTGTGATCATGTAAGCCAATTCCCCTAATAAATTCCATTTCATAGATTCTCTTGGTTCTGTATCTCCGGGCAACCCTGACTAATACAATAGCCTAAACTAAATGTTTTAAACTATTTGAGCAAGAGCTGGAAAAGAAAATTAAGGGAAAGTTTGAGAATAAAGAAATAAAGCATTTCTAATGATTTCCTTTCATTTTGCTCTTAGAGAGAGATAGGTAAATAAACAATTTGTTGGGAGCAAGTTGATAATTGCTGTCATAATCAGACATAAGAGATAAAACATGTTCAATGATGATTCTTGGGGCTAAAAAAGTAACCACTTGCAGAATTGAAAAGCAGAGAAATACTTCCAAATTAGCAAGAGGAAAAAAGAGGGGTTAAATGACAATTTACTCAAGCTAGCAGATTAATTAATTAAAGGAAAAAGAGGAAGCAATAACAAAGCAAAACACAGAGAAGCATAAAATTACATGTCAGGATATTTACTATCCTAAATGCCGATGGTCTGAATTCCTTTATTGAAGTACAATATATTGAATTAAAAAACAAGAAATACACTTTAAAAGATAGGAAGTAAGTTAAAATAAAGGGATACCAAACAAATTCAAACAAAATGAAAGCAAAAGTTGCAATAGTATATCACACAAAATGCATTTAAGTTCAAAACATTACAAAGGATAAAGAAAATGAAAAGTCATGAAACTTTCTTCCCCCTAAAAAGTTGCAGCTAAATATAAGGCAAAAACTCATAGAAATACATGGAGAATTTGATTTTTAAAATACAACTCCTGTGGGAGATTTTAATATGCTATTTTCAGAAAGTGATAGACCTAAGAGTAAATAAAACATAACAAGAAAGGCAAGGACCTATATGACATAACCACAATTAACAATATACATTGGGCCAGGCGTGGTGTATATCTCAAGGTGCTGTAATCCCAGCACTTTGAGAGGCCAAGGAGGGCAGATCACAAGGTCAGGAGTTCGAGACCAGCCTGACCATGGTGAAATCCCATCTCTACTAAAAATACAAAAATTAGCTGGGCGTGGTGGGCGCATCTGTAATCCCAGCTACTCAGGAGCCTGAGGCAGGAGAATTGCTTGAACCTGGGAGGCGGAGGTGGCAGTGAGCCAAGATCACGCTACTGCACTCCAGCCTGGGTGACAGAGCGAGACTGCATCTCAAAATAATAATAAGACTAATATTAATATATATAATATATAAACATATATATAAACAACTCATATTAATACATAGAAAATTTGCGGTTCTATGGATATAGAAAAACACATTTGTCTTTTGAGCACTGAAGTATTTATAAAAATCAATCAGAAGTTGGAGTCTGTCTAATGGTCCCTCAAGATTAGGTTTCACATTCTCAACCAGAGAACTACACAAATGATGCTTCTGAGTGTATTATATCTGGAGTCACATGTTGTTTTTCTGTCCTTCATTGGTGGCATTAATTTTGATCACTGATCAAAGTGTTGTCCAATTTTTCTACTGTGACTACATACAGGACTATTTGTTGTCCAATTTCTCTACTATGACTACACACAGTTCTCACTACATTTAATATCCATTGATGATTCTTGCTTGAACCAGTTTTATTATGATTTTTGCAAAATGATTATTTAACTCCAGTACTCTCTCCACATTATTAGTTGATATTAAAAAATGCCTTCATTTTTTCAGAGCTTGTTTGCAGGTTCTATCAGGGGAGTGCAGCTACTCATATGCCCTTGATTGAAGACCAGTCCTCCTCTATTGGGGATGGTCATCCTCTTCAACCAAGGATGTAGCTTCTGGAGGGAGGCACATGGAACAGTGAGGGAGGAAGGGGACACCTGCCTAGGCAGCCAGATCAGCCAAACAACCGTGGCCATCAATGGGGCAACAGATGTCACAGCCAGGTCACCCTCACATCTGGAAAATGCCTTATTTAAAAAAAAAAAAAATGAAGACTTAAAATGAGTATTTTTCTTAAGAAACTAAAAAAAGGGAAAACAAAATAGTATAAAAGTTTGAGGAATGAATTGATAAAGATAAAAATGAAAAATAATGAATAGAATAAAAGAGTATAAAGCATAAATAAATTCAAAATCTGGGTTTTTTTTAACTACTATATGAGGCATTTTTCTTTTTAAAAAGTATATTTTGTATTTTTCAGTTCAGGGATTTCCATTCGGCTCTTCCTTAAAATAATTTCAACTTCTGTTTTAGATTCAAGGGGTGCATATGCATGTTTGCTACCTAGGTATAATGCATAATGCTGAGGATTGGGGTATGATTGATCCTGTCACCCAGGTACTGAGCACAGTACCCAATAGTTGGTTTTTCAACCCTTGTCCCGCTTCCTCCTGTAGTTCTACTGTTGCCATCTTTATGCCCATGTGTAAAAATCTGTATTTTTAAAAGACACCAACAGATCAACTGCTCACTAGCTTGATTGAGAAAAATAAAAACAGCAAAAAATACATGCAGGAAGAATGAGAAAGGAGATAAAGACAGAGATATCAAATTGTGAGACAATAGTATATGCAACTGTTTGAAAATCTAAAGGGATGGATAAATTTTTGCCAAATGAAAATGACAAAAGTAGACCCAAGAATAAGTTTTTTTTTAAAAAGCCCAACTTTTAAGGACCAAGACTTTAGATAACATTAGAACGCTTATTAAAATTTCTATTTTTAAAAGGCATCAGAACCAATGGTATAGCTGAGCTCTCTCCAACCTTTAAATAATAGATAACTCTAATGTTATTTAAACTATTCCACTCAATAAAAAAGAAAAGTTCCCTAGTTCATTTCATAGTGGTAGCACAACTTAAATTTTTAAAAATATAATATTTAAAATAGAATTATCAAACACTTTTATAAATATATATAAACATTTATAAAAATTTTTAGCAAATCTAATTCACAATCAAATATCTACAAATTTAAGAAGAAAAATATGTCATTAAGCTAGATGCTAGGAAGATATTTAACAAAAAATAATAGTATTTTACACTCTCCCAATTGAAAATAAAGTTCTAAGTAGAAAACAAATAGTAGGAGGCTATTTACCCAAAATCTACACAGTACACCCATCCAAATCAGGAACAATACACGGGTGCCTTCTGTCACCTTTTTGTCCTCCTTCTTTGAGAAAAAAAATTAAATCATCAGAGTGAATATTGATAAAAACCATTAAATCTATAAATCATATAATTATAACCATTTTAACCCAAGAGACTCTTAGAAATAACTTCTGTAATTAATTAGAGAATTTGGTAAAGTGGCTTGATTGAAGATAAATATATGAAAATTAACATATTTTCCATCTGCTAGTAGTAACCAGTTAGAAACGAAATTGTGGGAAACATCAAATCCTTAGTAACAATAACTACAAATGTACAATATTTTGTCGGAACAGAACTAGATCTATGTGAAGAAAACCATAGAATCCTATTTAAGAACACATCACAAGAATTGAGCAAATAAAAGGATACAATATTCATGGACAGAAAATTTAGGATTGAGGCTGAGATGGAAAGATTACTTGGACCCAGAATTTCGAGGCTGCAGTGAGCTGTGATTGTGCCACTGCACTCCAGCCTGGGCAACAGCAAGATCCAAGAAGAGAAAAGAAAAGAAAAAAAGAAAGGAAAAGAAAAGAGAAAAGAAGAGGGGAGCAGAGGGGAGGGGAGAGGAGGGGAGGGGGCCTGGCGCGGTGGCTCACGCCTGTAATCCCAGCACTTTGGGAGGCTGAGGCGGGCGGATCACGAGGTCAGGAGATCGAGACCATCCTGGCTAACACGGTGAAACCCCGTCTCTACTAAAAAGTACAAAAAATTAGCCAGGCGTGGTGGCGGGCGCCTGTAGTCCCAGCTACTCAGGAGGCTTAGACAGGAGAATGACGTGAACCCGGGAGGCAGAGCTTGCAGTGAACCGATTTCGCGCCACTACTGCCCTCCAGCCTGGGTGACAGAGCGAGACTCGGTCTCAAAAAAAAAAGAAAGAAAGGAAAAGAGGCTTGGAAAATGAAATTTCTCCCTGAGTAAATACATAAATATGATGTCATTTCCATTTTAGAACTGGTTACAAGCTATTTACAAATTTATAGAGGGCCAAGCATGGTGGCTCATGACTGTAATCCCAGCACTTTGAGAGGCCAGAATAAGAGGATCACTTGTTGCCAGGAGTTTAAAACCAGCCTAGAGAACATAGCAAGACCCTGTCACTACAAAAAAAAACAATTAAAAAAAAATTAGCCAGGCATGGTAGTGTACACCCGTAGTCTCAGCTACTTGGGAGGCTGAGGCAGGAGGATCATTTGAGTTTAGGAGTTTGAGGTTACAATGAACCATGATTGCACCACTGCAATCCAGCCTGAGTGACAGAGCTAGACCCCATTTCTTTAAAAAAATTACAGAGAAAACCAAATATTAGAAAATTATGAATAGCAAACTATATGAGAGGTAACATGGCTTATCAGATATTTCTCACAGAAAAATAAAATAGGTCAGTGAAGCAGAGTATAGGAATCCAGAAACTGAAACAAGCATCTATGGGAAGTTGGTATATAACTAAGATATTTCAATTCTGTTGGGGATAAGAATCAGTTATTTAATAAAATGATGGCAGACTTGATTAACCATCTAAAATAAAATATAGTTCAATTGTATCTCAAAACATATAAAAATAAATTCCATTTATATTAAAGACTTAGTGGTAAAAAATTTAAACAACAAATAGAAAAGCTAGTAAAATAACCATGTAACTTTTAGGGGAGGGGATATCCTGTGAG